>NC_000002.12:24782482-24933997 GCF_000001405.40 Homo sapiens
AAGGTCTCAGAGCATTCTCACTAAACTCAATCGCGAGTCAGAGACACCTGCTAAACTGCTATTGTTGCACTAGAAGTCCTGGCCAGTGCAATAAGATGAGAAAAAGAAATAAGTATGAAGATGGCATTAAAAGAGACTAAATTGTGGTGATTGTTAGATAGTGCTTTTATAGGGTATGGTTTAAACTGGTCTTCACAATCCTGCTAAAACTTACTCACAGGTGAGGAAACTGAAGCTAAATTCCTTAGCCATTACATGCAGAGTTGAGTCTTAACATTAAGTCTTCTGGGATTGTCACCTGCCTTGCTCTTTCCATTTGTATCACAAAGAAGTAACAGCATATTTCCTATGGTTCAATTTCTGTTCCTGCAGCCACATCATCACAGTCTTGTGTCTTGAATATTTCAAAGAGTCTCCTGACTGATGTCCCAGCCTTCCTTCCCATTCCCAGGAAATAACATCTTGCCTCTGTTGCCAGATTAATCTTCCACTTTTATCACGAGCACTTCTTATTCCTTACGTCCAGTGTTGGGGCAGAGGTAGAATGTTTCATCGCCAACCAGTGTTTTCTTCCTTTTTAATTGACGTAATGCTCCTATTCTATTGTTCTAACTTACTCTTCCTCCTCATGGAGGTTAAAAGAATAACCTAGTTGGTGGGTGATTGCCTTTGGTCCACGTCTGTCAATTGAGTGGAACCAATCTATCAAAGTTTGATAGAATATGGGGAATTTGTTCTTATTATCCTTACTTCACATTACCAGTCGGAAGCATCAACTTTGGTGAAGTATCTACTCTGTATACTCACACTTTTCCTTAAGATAGGGAACTAGCGATCCTATTTAGGCCATCGCATAAAGCTATATCTTCTAACCAATTGATAAAAAAAGTGATATTTTGTTTATCTGCTTTTTGTCTCATTTCTCAAGAACCTAGGATCAGAACTTGGGTGCCACTTATTTGACCCTTAAAAATCCCCTCAGTTGGCCGGGTGCGGTGGCTCATGCCTGTAATCCCAGCACTTTGGGAGGCTGAGGTGGGCGGATCATGAGGTCAGGAGATCAAGACCATTCTGGCCAACATGGTGAAACCCCGTCTCTACTAAATATACAAAAATTAGCGGGGCATGGCAGTGTGTGCCTGTAGTCCCAGCTACTTGGGAGGCTGAGGCAGAATTGCTTGAACCTGGGAGGCAGAGGCTGCAGTGAGCCAGGATTGCGCCACTGCACTCCAGCCTGGGCAACAGAGGGAGACTCTGTCTCAAAAAAACAAACAAAAAATCCCTTCAGCTAAAATCCAGCCTTAGGCCAGCAGTCAAAACCCACCATATCTGGATGTTAAAGAAGGACAAAAGCTGGTGCTGTGTTAAGCTTGACCTCAGAGGACAGCTAAAACCTGTCAGGCAGTCATAGCTGAGGGCAGTGGTTCTCAACCATCTATCCACACTAACACCTTCCTGTCGGTTACGATGGCTCACTACTACCAAGATTCTCAATCAGGAAGCAAGAAGGAATTCACACCCTTAGGACAGCATCTCAGAACCTGTGGGAAAGTTCTGTGTTGATTAGACAATAAAACAGGCAATTCTTAACCTGCCCCTGGAGGGGAGCCCTCTGCGCTCTGCCAGCGCCATGAGAAGCGGTGACCTAGGCTTTGACCCTCAGCTTTATAAGTTCAGAAACTCAACTTTGTCAGCTCATCCAGTGATAATTGGGCTCTAGGGTGTTGAGTCAGAAAACTTACAGTCGCAGGAGGCTGATTTATAATCCAGAATGTCAATTAACCAATTAAAAATGGAAGATACAGCTTTTCAGCACTTGAACTACTCGTGACCCCTTTTCAAACTACCCTCCAGTATCTATATGGCTGGAAAACCAAATTGTTAACCAACTACAAGAGATTAGAAAAACTGCTGAGTGCAGTGGCTCATGCCTGTAATCCCAGCATTTTGGGAGGCCAAGGTGGGCGGATCACTTGAGGTCAGGAGTATGAGACCAGTCTGGCCAACATGGGAAAACCCCGTCTCTAGTAAAAATACAAAAATTAGCCGGGCATGATGGTGCATGCCTGTAATCCCAGCTGCTCGGGAGGCTGAGGCAGGAGAATCAATTGGACCCAAGAGGCGGAGGTTGCAGTGAGCGGAGATTGTGCCACTGCACTCCAGCCTGGGTGACAGAATAAGACTCTATCTAAAGAAAAAGAAAAAAGAAAAACTGAACTGACAAAAGACCTTTTTTTCAATCCCAGTCCTGCCATTGTCTTTGATCTTGGCAAGTCAAAGCCTTTCTGAATCTTGTAAACTCTGAGACTAGATGGCCTGCATCACAACAATTGTCAGGATTGATTCATATGGGAGCACTTTGTTAATTATACAATGTTTTTCACATATAAGAAACCTACCAGCCAGGCATGGTGGCTCATGCCTGTAGTCCCAGCACTTTGGGAGACTGAGGCGGGTGGATCACCTGAGGTCAGAAGTCCAAGACCACCTGGACAACATGATGATGTCAGGCCACTGAGCCCAAGCCTGCACGTATACCTCCAGATGGACTGAAGCAACTGAATTACCACAAAAGAAGTGAAAATAGCCAGTTCCTGCCTTAACTGATGACATTCCACCGTTGTGATTTGTTTCTGCCCCACCCTAACTGATCAGTTGACCTTGTGACATTCCTTCTCCTGGACAATGAGTCTCAGAAGCTCCTCACTGGCCACCTTGTGACCCCTGCCCGCAAGAGAAAAACCCCCTTTAACTGTAATTTGCCACTACCTACCCAATCCTATAAAACTGCCCCACCCCTATCTCCCTTTGCAGACTCCTTTTGCGGACTCCGTCTGCCTGCACCCAGGTGATTAAAAAGCTTTATTGCTCACACAAAGCCTGTTTGGTGGTCTCTTCACAGGGATGTGTGTGACAGATAAAACCCCCTCTCTACTACAAATACAAAAAATTAGCTGGGCATGGTGGCCGGCACCTGTAATCCCAGCTACTCTGGAGGCTGAGGCAGGAGAATTACTTGAACCCAGAAGGCACGGGTTGCAGTGAGCCAGGATTGCTCCACTGCATTCCAGCCTGGGCAACAAGAGCAAAACTCTTGTCTCAGAAAAAAAAAAAAAAAAAAAAAAGAAAGAAAGAAAAAAGAAATCTATGAAAGCATAGGAGATTGTTTTCAAGGATATAGCGTCTATTCTAGGGTTTGCAGCACATCTTTGCCCTGTTGGAGAAATCATAATTTTCTGTAACCTTAGTATGCATGGCCAAATACAGTGCACTTGGTGCCAGATTTCTGCTATTTGACTCCTTCCTGTGAGCACTTAATACCCTCTCATAATGTGTTGATTCTAAACCACACACATTTATTGTTCCTCTTTTAGGTTGGCTGTCTCCAGGGCCCAGGCTGTTTCTAGGTAGCACTAGAGCCTCCACTTCAGTGGGTCTGGGGTGGGGCCTGATAATTTGCATTTCTAACAAGTACCCAAGTGGTACTGATCTAGGGACCAGACCACCGCTTTGAGAGCCACTGATCTAGTTCAAATGATCATGGTCTTAAGCTGATACCAATAAGAAAATCTATTGCTTTCCTGCTGCTGTCTTGCTCTCACTCAGCGTCAGCGCATGAGTTCCTGTTCTTCCCCACCCTTGGGCAGACATTTATGCTATTTGTGCTCAGATCTCTGCTTTACGGATTTGCCTAAATCTGCTAACTCCCAGCTGTGTCTCATTTCTGTCTAGCTTCTTTTACCCCCAGACAAAGTCTCACTCTGTTGCCCAAGCTGGAGTGCAGTGGTACGATCTCGACTCACTGCAACCTCCACCTCCCAGGTTCAAGAGATTCTACTGCCTCAGCCTCCCGAGCAACTGGGACTACAGGCACGTGCCACCATGCCTGGCTAACTTTTTTTTTTTTTGAGACAGAGTTTCACTCTTGTTGCCCAGGCTGGAGTGCAATGGCGCGATCTCTGGCTCACCGCAATCTCCACCTCCTGGGTTCAAGCAATTCTCCTGCCTCAGTCTCCTGAGCAGCTGGGATTACAGGCCACCACGCCCAGCTAATTTTGTATTTTTAGTAGAGACGGGGTTTCTCCATGTTGGTCAGGGTGGTCTCGAACTCCCAATCTCAGATGATCCGCCCGCCTCGGCCTCCCAAAGTGCTGGGATTACAGGTGTGAGCCACTGCGCCCGGCAATTTTTTTGTATTTTTAGTAGAGACGGGGTATCATTATGTTGGCCAGGCTGGTCTCGAACTCCTGACCTTTTGATCCGCCCATCTCGGCCTCCTGAAGTGCTGGGATTATAGGCGTGAGCCACCCACCGCACCTGGCCTGTCTAGCTTTATACTATGTCTTACTGAAGAATTCAGAACTTAATTTTTTTTAAGATGCAGTGTCATTTAGAAACATTTTCCTAATTGGCTTGAATGGAAATGGTACTTGATGATTCCTGGATGGCATCACTCCCTAACAGAAAGGGGTAGACAATGGCCTACTTGATGGAGAACTCTTGGAGGGCAGCTCTGACGGCTGTGCCATCTGCATCTTCCCAAGTTTAGGTTCTAGCACGAAGTCCCAGGCACTGCTCTAAGGGGTTTGTACATCCAAACACATTTAAATCCCCACTTTACGGATAAGGGAACTGGGTCTCAGGGAAATAGAGTCACTGCCCAAGTCCACAGAGCTTGAAAGTATGAGACCCAGATTTGGACTCAAGCAGTTTGACACCAAAGCCTAGGCTCCTACTCACTGTTATGCTAGCTAATATAGTGCTCAATAAGTTTATTCAGTGTTATGAAAGATCGTATGCCTCCTACTTTTTTAAACTTTTAAGTTCAGGGGTACCTGTGCAGGATGTGCAGGTTTGTTTTATAGGTAAACTTGCGTCATGGGGGTTTGTGGTACAGATTTGATCACTCAGGTATTAAACCTAGAACCCACTGGCTATTTTCCTGATCCACTCCCTCCTCCCACCCTCCAATCAGTCCCCGTGTGTGTTGTTCCCCTCTGTGTGTTCATGTGTTCTCATCATTTAGCTCCCACTTTCAAGTGAGAACATGTGGTATTTGGTTTTCTGTTGCTGCTTTAGTTTGCTGAGTATAGTGCATATGCCTCCTACTTAATAGAAAAAAAGTCAGCAGGTATGGTCAACTTCAACTTTCTTTCTCCTACAATCTATTAAACCTACGTACATCTATATCTTCACCATCTGCCTTTCCACCAGTCTCAGAAAAGAAGTTTCCCCTCTCTCAGTTCAAGGCCAGTTCTTCCCGTAGCCTTTGACCCCATCTCTTCCTGTTTTCTCTGGACTTCATCAGTTATTCTATTTGGGAACTTTAATCTCTTAATCTCTCCTCTCCTTACTTTCTCCTCCTCACCCATCATCCTGCTCAAGATCTAAGAAAATCCCCACTAGGGGACCCAGCATTGATCTTTCCAGCCCCTTTTCAGTCATTATCCTCTCTCTCCTCCCTTTCAAGCTTCTGGAAAGGACACTTCTCACCTCTTACCTCCCTCCCCTCCCATTCTTTTTTTTTTTTTGAGACGGAGTTTTGCTCTTGTCGCTCAGGCTGGCGTGCAGTGGCACGATCTCTACTCACTGCAATCCCTGCCTCCCGGGTTCAAGCAATTCTTCTGCCTCAGCCTCCCGAGTAGCTGGGATTACAGGCGCCTGCCACCACACCCTGCTAATTTTTGTATTTTTAGTAGAGACGGGGTTTCACCATGTTGGCCAGGATGGTCTCGAACTCCTGACCTCGTGATCGCCTGCCTTGGCCTCCCAAAGTGCTGGGATTACAGGTGTGAGCCACCACGCCTGGCCTCCCATTCTTGTCTCAACATGTTACAATCTGATTTCTACCCTCACTATGCTATTTAAACTTCACTAAGTTCACCAGTACATTCCCAATTGCTAAATGTTTCCACGTTTTATTTACTGACATTCTATGCTGCACTTGATTGTTCTCTACCCCTTCAACTCCTCATTCACTTGGCTTCCTGGGGTTGGCTCTGCCCTCAGCACTCTACCAACTCTCCCTGTGAGAGAGACCCATCCACTCTCCTTGATTCAGGTGACCACCTTTCTTAAAGGGAAATCTTTTTTTTTTTTTTTTTTTTTTTTTTTTTTGTAGAGACAGGATTTCACCATGTTGGTCATGCTGGTCTCAAACTCCTGACTTCAGGTGATCCTCCCACCTCAGCCTCCCAAAGTGCTGGGATTATAGGCATGAGCCACTGCACCGGGCCCATGAAGGGAAATCTTATCTGGGATCTTAGCAGAACATTATCTAAGGGGGACGGGTAATATCCGTATAGGTTCTTAGCTACCTGAGGGCAAAACTGTTTTATGCACAGCCTGCCACAGCAGACAAACAATAGATATCTGTTGAACAAATTACCCCTTATAAACTTTGCTTCACAGATGTCTAAGCAATTTCTGTAGATGTGTCCAAATGTTTATAGAAATATTGTAAACGTTGTACAGAGTGTTACAGATGTTCAGAGAAGGAACTATCATTTTTGGCTTGGTAAGAATTTTTGGCAGTGATAGCACTTGAGCTGGAAATAGTTTAAGTAAAGTCCAGGGGCAGGAAAGGGAGGGGAGGAGTAGTAACATTCAACTCCCATGCCAGAGACTGGAGAATAGCAACTGGAGGGACTCTGTGGAAACATCAAGTTTGAATAAGGGAATAGAAGATTC
Source organism: Homo sapiens (assembly GCF_000001405.40). Classification (NCBI taxonomy): domain Eukaryota; kingdom Metazoa; phylum Chordata; class Mammalia; order Primates; family Hominidae; genus Homo; species Homo sapiens. Next base: position 24,789,173 of record NC_000002.12, read on the forward strand.
AACTAAAAAGATAAGTAGGAGGCCGGGCACGGTAGCTCACACCTGTAATCCCAGCACTTTGGGAGTCCGAGGCTGGCGGATCACCTGAGGTCAGGAATTGGAGACCAGCTTGGCCAACATGGTGAAACCCCGTCTCTACTAAAAAAACACAAAAATTAGCCAGCTATGGTGGCATGCACCTGTAATCCCAGCTACTCGGGAGGCTGAGGCAGGAGAATGGCTTGAACCCAGGAGGCGCAGGTTGCAGTGAGCAGAGATGGCGCCACTGCACTCCAGCCTGGGCAACAGAGAGAGACTCCATCTCGAAAAAACAAAAAAGATAGGTAGGAAATACACATGAGGAGGGCCTGAAGTCTAAGCTAAGGAGTGCTGGGATTACTCCATAGGCAGAGAGGAGCCTAGACTACACAGGTAGGTGTTCAGTCGTCCTATGTGGTGGCAAAGCAGCTGCTGGATTGGAGTGTCACACTGGCGGTGAACAGACCGTGGGACACGCCAGTGAGCAAAATGAGAGGCTGACACAGGGCAACGGCACTGAAATGACAAGAAAACAGCTGTAGTACTTGACAGATTTCATTGAATCTAATAAATCTGTATGTATGTACATATATATAGACACACACAAATTTTAACTTGTTATTAATCTTTATAGAGACAGTGTCTCACTCTGTTGCCCAGGCTGGAGTGCGGTGGCATGATTAGAACTGACTGTAACCTTGAACTCATGGGCTCAAGCGATCCTCCTGCCTTGGCTTCCCAAAACCCTGGAATTAACAGATGTGAGCCACCACACTGGCCAAATTTTAACATCTTTGTTATTGAAATACAAGTGTTTAATTTGCCGGCATATTTTTTAACAATACATAAAATACTACCGCATCTTAAAGTTGATGTTATCTTAGATTCAATGAAATATGATAACTGGATGTGAATAAGAAGGAATTCAAAAGCAAAGTTTCAAACCCGAGTGACTGGAAGGGAGTTTCCTTGAGCCCCACAGGAGAGTCTAACCAAATCTTCTATTTGAGCAATGATCCCCAGACAATACTGCTCTCCCACCTTCCCCACTTGAACTTATTAATAAGAGGAAGTAGTTATTAATGACAACTTTAATATGAACATGTGCTTAACCCTCAAGAAATTGTCACAACTGAAAGACGGGAGCAAGCTGACACTGCAAGGAACACATGATGCTTTGGAATGGGTGGCCTGCGTATTCAAACACATCAAAGCAGCAGTTACTTGAACAATCGGAACTTCTTCAAATACTGGCCCACTTCTTCCTTGGGGTAGGGCCGGAGAGCAATACAAGTGGCGATATTCTCTGGTTGCTCAAGCCACAGCATGTGGTCAATGTTCTTCTGTTGCAGGGTCTCGGCCAGCTCCTTTAGGGTGGTCTCATCTGGGGCCTAAAGGAGAAGAACACAGAACACAAACTGAATAGCCCACTTAGGAAGTGTCAAAAGGCCAAAAAAGGTTTCGGGAGTCCTCTTGCCTGAAAGTGGAGTAACAGCTTTACCAAGGAGGGAGCTGCAGAGCAATGATGTCATTCCGTGGTGCACTGGGGAGGGGAGAGAGGCTTCATATTCCAGTTTAGAAAATGGAGATTTGTATCTTCCCTTGTGAGATGTTGTATGCCCAACACACACATGTGTAATGTGTAATTCTGCTCTATACATTTTCCAGCTCTCCTATGGCTGGCGCCCATAATTTTAAGTGCCTCTGACTTTAAGAGCTGCCTAGTGGAAGTTTTTTTTTTTTTTTCTTTTGAGACAGAGTCTTGCTCTGTCGCCTGGGCTAGAGTGCAGTGGCACGATTATCAGCTCACTGCAGTCTCTGGCTCCCGAGTTCAAGCAATTCTCCTGCCTCAGCCTCCCGAGTAGCTGGGATTACAGGCGCACACCACTACACCTGGCTAATTTTTGTATTTTTAGTAGAGACGGGGTTTCACCATGTTGCCCAGGCTGGTCTGGAGCTCCTGACCTCAAGCAATCCACCCACCTAAGCCTCCCAAAGTGCTAGGATTACAGGAGTGAGCCACCATGCCCGGCCCCTAGTGGAAGGATTTCTAAAAGCACATCCACTTCCACTTTCCTCCACCCCTCCCACTCTACCTCACTGAAACCTAGAGGGGTTTTCCTTCTGCTGGGATGGCTCCCACTTGTTTATTAAAGGGAGAGTACAATATTCTCTAACATCCTTCTGAAATTGTTTCTGGGTCATCCTTACTGCCAATTCACCCATGCTGAATCCCATTCCAGGAAGTATTAAAACGATCACTCAGAAAATTATTATTTTTGTGTTATTTTGCATAAAGTTTATCTCTTACCTATGAAGGCAGAAGCCACTAAGCTACTCAGAGGCTTGTTTTAATAAATTAGAGAATGCCAGTATTGCGACTCTTAACCTGCTGAGTCCTTCTGGCAGAGCTCTGCTGGAGGACTCATCAGCTTCTTCAGCCTCGGGCAGCAGCAGAGCATAGTGAGATACAGTGAGGCTCTGGAATCAGACTACTGGACTCCAAACTCTTGCTGACTGTGTGATCGTGGATAAGTTAGGTGACTTCGCTGGCCTCTTCGTCCCTTTATAAAACAGGAATAATGCTTCCTAATGGGGATCAATGAAATCAGGCTTGGACCTGTGCCTGGCACACACTAAGCACTCAATAAATGTAGTTAATCCTGGTATTTTCTTATATTTTATTGGCCCTTCTGACTACAGCGGCACCTCAATGTAATCAGTAGCGACTCCTAAGTCCCTTTCTTGAGTCATGACTAACAACTAAGAATCATGAGACCCTCTTTTAAACTCAGGGGAGTCACTTAATCCCTGTAGGCTTCAGAGAGTTTCACCTGCGACAAGAGGAGTCTAACCTGATTTCTTGAGACCTCTTACTAGGAAGAAAATCTAAGTGAAAAGCCAGCAGCTTCTGTTCTGCCTACACAGATTCTCAAGGCATTTTTCCTACAGGTTACCGCTTGATGTTTCACTATCCAGCAGCAATTTTTCTCTTGAAAGATAATCTATCTTTGTCAGTTACCCATGAAGGGATTACTCCACCCCTCCACCTGAGTTCTGGCTTAAAGCCGTTTTTCCTTATTATAAAAAGCCGTTTATTATTAAAGCCGTTTTTCCTTATTATAAAATATGTGCTTAAGGTAGAAAATTTTAAAAATACAGATTAAGCATTAGGAAATAACCAAAATCTCACCATGCACTACTTAATATGTAGATGTATTTCTTTAGTTTTTCCTTTCAAAGTCTGGATCATTCTGTATATATAGTTCAGTTAGCTTCGCATCATGAGCACTCTTCCCGACCACTAAATATGCTTCAAAACCATAAGGGCTCCCATGAATATCCTTGTGCAAAGCTCTTTGGGTGCATCTGATTATTTTCTTAGGCTACATCTCTAGCAGCAGGATAGAGAGTCAAAGGGTAAGGGTGAGATTTGTTTGGTCATCTGCAAACAGAACCTGACTGCTATTTTAAAAGGTGTACCGATTTACACACCTGGTGCCTGGTCTAGCTGAAGCTAGGTTCAATTTATACTAACGTTTTTAGTATTTATTTTCAAATAATTTGGCGTCCTACCCAGGTAAATACTCAGTTTGACTTCACTTTGCACTGTCCCTTCGGGCTCGGTTTTGCAGGAGGACAGCACTTTGGGGCATGGCTTTAAAAAGTCGGCCAGTGCACAGGCGGAACAGCGGGGACACAGGAGCCACCACTTTACCGCGAGCCCAGCAGGGGGCGGAGGACTGCTGTCCACTCTTCACACAGTCAGGCCCTTCCCAAGGGCGCACCTCCAGGGAAACAGCTCCAGTCTAAATGTTAACGATCACCCCAACTCCCGCCGCACCCACTCCCCGCAGCCAGGCCTTCGGACCGAAGACCACACCCACTTCCGCCCTCGATGTCTCAGCACCTCCCCCTCCGCCCGAGTGCCTCACCTCGAGGACCACTTTGCGCATGCGCCCCAGCTCTTGGAGGTAAGCGGCTGTGTGCGGGTGGTCGCGGTGAGTGTGCAAGGCCGCGGTGGCCGCGTGACAAGCCTGCGCTACCAGTGCGCCCGCCGGCCAGGAGAACGGAGCTTGTGATAGATCCTTTCGTAACACCAAGTATTGTACCAGGACCTGCGGCTCCGCCCCAGAGGCCGCCATCTTCCTGACCACCCGAAAGGCCGGACCTACTCCCCGGTGCATCTTGGGATCAGGGCGGGGCCCTGAGCGCCGCCATGCTTTTGTACGGCAGGATCGCAAAGCACGCCGGGACCGGTTGGTTTGGTTTTGAAGACGTGGATGGCGGGAATTCTCGCTTCTGGCCTGGGTGAGCTAGAAGGGAGAAGGTAGGGGAAAGACCCATTGTCGGACCGGACCGTGGCCAGGGTGGCGGGCTGAACGGCCTTCTTAAAACTCCTTCCGTGGCCGGGAAGCCCGCTGGACCAGAGTAGCCGTGGCCTCGGGAGCGCGCCGGGGCCGCGGGATGGGCGCGGGGGTGGGCATGGACTCTGCTGGCTCGGACGATGGGAGAGGGCGGGCGGCTCAGGAAAGGGGATCCTAGCCGTGACATTTGTGTCATCCGCGGCCCAGGGGTTGTGCCTGAGTGGTGTGTGCCCTGCCGTCTGGGTTTGAATGGGACTAGATGTGATGTGACTGTTGCCATTTTTCTTTTATTAGCAAGGACATTGGAGTCCCTATCACCGGTTGCCTAGACAACTTCATGGGAAGGCCCTTGGGAATCTGAGATGGAGCAGGCGAACCCTTTACGTCCAGATGGCGAGTCCAAAGGAGGTATTCAGAGGGTCGCCGCCTCCTTCCTGCTGCTGCCCAAAGATGACCCGCAGGCTGAGAGAGCCCTTTCCTCCTGGAACTGACGTGGGACCTGGCCTGTTTGGGAGCAGAATAGTGAAAGGAACTAACATTGAAGACAAAGGGACAGGCAGCCAAGATTATTCGAGGAGGAAAAATGGCTTCGTTTCTAGGCTCCCACCCCTTTTGAAACGGATAAGTTGCATCCATCATATGCTCAGTGTTTATATTCTGAACTGCGGTTCTAGCCAGGGAGGTCCCTTTCCTCTCCCCGGATTTTTTGGGCCATGTATGCATTACTCTTGAGGGAGGGCCAGTGTAGGGCAGTGACTTTAGTGTTGGCTAGAACTGGTTTTGAGTGTTGGCTCTGCCATGATAAATATTGTGACCTTAGGCAAGTCACTTTATTCTCTGCCTCTGTTTCTTCATCTGGAAAATGGAGGTGAAAATAGCACTGTAGTTGTGGTTGTGGAAAAAGTATTTCTTTTGTGGTGGAAAAGTATTGAACTCAGACTTTTCAAGTGAAGCATTTAGCACATGTCTAATATATAGGAAATATTCAATGAAAGGCTTAATTCTTTACATACTTTGTGTCTTAAAATGTAGAAGGTGTTTAAAGAATGCTTGTTAGAGTTGCTTAGAATTACGAAACTATTACTTTTACTTAGTCCTTAGTCAATCCTTTGGAAACTGAGATTTGCGTTTGAATTTCTGTCCAGGAGTAAGTTGCTTTCTTCTTTAGTGCCTAGTAATATTTGTGGACAGTTCTGGTTTTGTGTGACTTTATGTTCTTTGCTACTAATACTTTTTAGAACTTTGAAATACTTACTCAAGCCTGATGCCTAAATCCAAAGGGTTCTACGTTAGTACTTTGGGAAAGCTTGCCATAAAACCTAACTTAAATTACAGTTTTAAAAAGAATTTCTGAGCGCGTCAGTGAATTTGGTTATCCTATTTTTCTCTGGGTCATCATTATCATTGATAACAGAGAAGTAACTATATTCAGCCTAAGATGACTTAAGCTGAGACTTTAGATAATAAAAGTATATGGGGTAAGATTTATTGTTACTTTAAGACTAAAAATAAGTTTGGTGACTTTATGTAGTGGAAACATGCTACACTCAGGAGTAACCTGTTCTCTAGTCCAGGCCTTATTTCATTTCTGTTAAAGTAAGTGATGAGGTGGAAGTTTTGGATTATCAAGAGACTTAGACCAGTCTCCTTATTCTCTACCCAAAACAATATTTAAACACTTAGCTGTTACCCATACTGGTTTTATCCCTCTGCTTGTTTGATTTCAGTTTTTTGCTTATTATTTGAATTCTCCCCACTCATTTGAGAAGGAAGGACATGGAGTTGTAGTTGCAACCAGATGATTTATTCAAATAGGCAGGGATTTTGACTTTTTTTGGGACAAAGCTGACTGGCTAGGATGAGATGCAATCATAACTTCCAAGGTAAAGCAGGCCCAGCAGATACACTCCCTCTTTTCTGTAGTAGCAACGCTAAACAACAACGCTACCCCCTTGGTGTAGAGGGAATCAGGTCGGTAAAGAAGCTGGGCAGGTTTGAGAGCCTGAGAAGAGGGCTGTGTGGAAGTGCCTAGAGAAGGAGCAGCATGATACTGTTTTGAACACCTACTTATCTCAGAAACTTTGGGAATATTGATATCTACTGTTTTAGTAATATAGAATTTCCATAAAGTAGAATTTGGTGAGGCGTCTCCTCTACCACCCTAAATTATTCTATGTGTGCGTGCTTTTCAGATCACCTCCTGGTTGGACATTAATTTTTGTAAGCTCCGTGAGGACAGGGACTTCGTTTTGCCACCACAGTATGAATAACTTCCAGCACGGTCCTTGGTCCATAGTAAATTCTCAATGCATAGTTGTTGGATAAATAGAGATTGGTGAATAAAGCAGTTAATCACGTGCTAATTATTAGGACTAATTTATTTAATTAGAATTTTGGTTTCTCACGATTATTATTGCGGTAATGTGGGTTTTTCTGTGGACATGAGCCAAGTGAATGTAATCTCCAAGAGTGTCATGCCTGGTTGTCCGTGTTTCGGTAAACATTTCCGGAGTGTTGGCCGGGCGCGGTGGCTCACACCTGTAATCCCAGCACTTTGGGAGGCCAAAGCGGGTGGATCACAAGGTCAGGAGTTCAAGACCAGTCTGGCTAACATAGTGAAACCCCATCTCTACTAAAAATACAAAAATTAGCCGGGCATCGTGGTGCATGCCTGTAGTCCCAGCTAATTGGGAGGCTGAAGCAGGAGAATTGCTTGAACCTGGGAGGTAGAGGTTGCAGTGAGCTGAGATCGCGCCACTGCACTCCAGCTTGGGCAACAGAGTGAGATTTCGTCTCAGAAAAAAATAACCATTTCCGGAGTGTTTACCATGTGTAAACACTTTGTGCTAGGGTTAAGGGATCCATGGGTGAACACAAATGCACACGGTCCCTGATTTTGGAACTTTAAGGTTCAGTGGAAAAGATAAGCAAATCAAATAATCACACTAATGAATATACAATTAAAACTATAGTGGCCGGGTGCGGTGGCTCACGCCTGTAATCCTAGCACTTTGGGAAGCCGAGGTGGGAGGATCGCTTGAGCTTAGGAGTTTGAGACCAGCCTGGGAAACATAGTGAGACCCCATCTCTTTATTTAAAAAACAAAAACAAAAAAACTATAGTATTGTCTCAGAAGGATCTTTGAGAGCTTATGAGCTGGCACCTGACCTTGTTCTGAAGGTGCTACAAAGGTTTCCCTGAGGAAATGCTGCTTGCATTGAGTGCTAACGAGCTAGAGTAGCTGCAGGTGAAGGTGGATAAGGGGCGGCTGTGGAAGAGCCTTTGGTGTGTGTGTTGGGGGTGGGGGGATCAGGTCAGTAAAGACGCTGGGCGGGTTTGAGAGCCTGAGAGGAGGCCTGTGTGGAAATGCCTAGAGAAGGAGCAGCATGATACTGATGAGGGTAAGAGAGATCCAGAGGCCAGTAGGCCTCGTAGGCAGTGTGAAGTCATCGAAAGGCTTTAGCCAGCTGGATGACACGATCCAGTTTAGATTTTGAAATATGGCTTCAGTGTATGGGCCACCTAGGAAACTTGTAATAGGCCAGAAATGGTAGTAGCTTGAACTACAATGGTGGCATTGCAGATGGGGAAAATGGAAATATTTTAGAGATACTAGGAATGTATATTCAATAGGATCTGGTAATGGATTGGGACTGGGTCAGGGAGAAGGTGTGAGGAAGAAAGTACTGGTTTACACAGCTATAGATGGATAATGGTTCCAGTCATGGAGGGGTTTAGAAGGGGAGATGATGAATTCAGTCTTGGACATGTTGATTGTCAGGTTCCTGTAAGTCTTCCAAGTAGATACACTGAGAAGGCAGGTGGATATTCTGCTTTCTCAAGAAGCAGGAGAGAGGTATAAGCTAGAGATACATATTTGTGTGGCATCGACATGTATGGCCATTAAGGCTGTGGGTACTGATGAGATTTCTTCTGGAAAGAAGAGGTCTTAGGACTGAGCTCTGGAAAATTTCAGCATTTAATGGTCAAGGAGGAGAGTAGGAGCCTTCAAAGCAGAAAGTGGGGTCAGAGAGGTAAAATGTAAGTGTCACAAAAACAGGTTGTCTGTTGTTCATCACTATGTTCCCAGTGCCTGAAATAGTACTTGGCACAAAATAGATGCTTAATAAACATCTGTTGAACAAGGCATACCAACAGGCCGCTATGCTAAGATTCAGAGGAAAAGAGGGTTTCGTGAAGGTGGTGATCAGTAGGAGCATATAGTGCTGGGAGGTGAGATAAGGGAGCTTGAAAAATGTCCTTTGGGTTCAGCAACATGGATATCACTGTTGATCTTAGAGTGGTTTTGTAAAATAATGGGAACAGAAGTGAGTTTCAAGTGGGTTGAGGTATGAGTCACAGGCAAGAAAATGGAGAAAGTGAGTACAAGTTGAGCACTGAAGATCCAAAATCTGAAATACTCCAAAATCTGAAGCTTTTTGAGCACTGACATGATGGTCAAAGGAAATGCTTATTTCCAGTTTTGGATTTTCAGATATGGGATGTTCAGCCAGTAAGTGTAATGCAAATACTCCCAATTCCGAAATCTGAAACACCTCTAGTCCCAAAACGTTCGGATACTCAACTTGCATGGACAACTCTTTTAAGTAGTTTTCCTGGAAAGGAAAGGGGAGAAAAGGGAGATAGTAGCTGAAGGGGATTTGTGGGCAAGAATAGGCCTGTGAGTGTATGAAATTGTGTGTGTGTGTATGTGTGTGTATATATATATATATATATGAGTGTGTGTTTGAAGACAGTTGAGACTTGAGCGTGTGTGGAAGGGAAATGAACACAGCAGAGAAAAGGGTAACTGATCATTTAGGGTTTCTGAGAAAGCAAGGGGATAGGCCTCAATGAGTAAAATAGGATAATTCTGCATATAGTGCGTGTCTGTTTCTATTTGATCTCACACAAATTTTTTTTTTTTGAGACGGAGTCTGTCACCTAGGCTGGAGTGCAGTGGCACGATCTTGGCTCACTGCAAGCTCCGCCTCCTGGGTTCACGCCATTCTTCTGCCTCAGCCTCCTGAGTAGCTGGGACTACAGGTGCCCGCCACCACACCCGGCTAATTTTTTGTGTTTTTGGTAGAGACGGGGTTTCACTGTGTTAGCCAGGATGGTCTTGATGTCCCGACCTCGTGATCCACCCGCCTCGGCCTCCCAAAGTGCTGGGATTACAGGCGTGAGCCACCGTACCCGGCCCGATCTCACATACTTTTTTTTAATGGTTTTATTAGCCATAAAAACCATAAGAGGTTTCTAGTCTTAATTGGATAGGTGAATGAGATAAGTTTTTGGATTCCGTCCCAAGGCAAGGAGAGAAGATTAAGGTTTTCATATATGTTCATCCATATGAACCCTACAAAATAGATGCTGGGTGTACTTAAGAAGCTCGATTAAATAAAGTCTGGGGCTTCCTTTTTTTTTTTTTTTTTTTTTTTTTTTGGAGACAGTCTTGCTCTGTCCCCCAGGCTGGAGTGCAATGGCACTCCAATGGAGTGCAGTGATCTTGGCTCACTGCAACCTCCGCCTCCTGGATTCAAACAATTCTGCCTCAGCCTCCCGAGTAGCTGGGATTACAGGCATGCGCCACCATGCCCGGCTAATTTTTTGTATTTTTAGTAAAGATGGGGTTTTGCCATGTTGGCCAGGCTGGTCTCGAACTCCTGACCTCAGGTGATCCACCCGCCTTGGCCCCCCAGAGTGCTAAGATTACAAGTGTGAGCCACCGCCCTCGGCTGTGAGAGGGCTTCTCTCCGGCCTGTGGTAAAGCTAGAGAATCATCCTTTACACACTAGAGATGTGGATTTGCGATAAACTGCAGACCTAGATAAGACACTGCTGCCTAATCAGCGTGTGATAGTTCATATCCTCTCTCGGGCTGTCTTTGAGGAGGATCCTGTTTTACATCACTCTCCAACCTAGGAGGTTGATGATCTTTGATTTCAATTGTTAGCTCCCCTGGTTTTATAAATTGACAGATATCTAACAATTCAGCTGGCCACAAAGTTCTGGTAAAAAAAAAAAAAGAGTCACCTGTTCTTCCCTGAGATGCTTCCTGTTGCCACAGTGAGAAATCCTCAGCTTCTTGTAAAATTCTCCTTTTACTCTCCTTAGGTGTTTTAGCTCACTTGGAAAGGCTAGAGACCCAAGTGAGCAGATCCCGTAAACAGTCTGAAGAGCTGCAGAGCGTGCAGGCCCAGGAAGGTGCTCTTGGAACCAAGATTCATAAACTAAGGCGTCTGCGAGATGAGCTGAGGGCTGTGGTGCGGCACCGGCGAGCCAGCGTGAGTAGAAGGGTGGTATCAGCAGTTCCTTTAGAGTATAATGAACAAACGTGATTTGGGAATTGGTGAATTGGCCATTTTTTATAATGTGTTTTACTTGTGATCTTACTGGATTGATTGCAGTCCTTGATCCCTCAAATGATCAAACCTGTAGAGTTTGGCCAGGCACGGTGGCTCATGCCTGTAATCCCAGCACTTTGAAAGGCGAGGCAGGCCTATCGCCTGTGGTCAGGCGTTTGAGACCAGCCTGGCCAACATGGTGAAACCCCATCTCTACCAGAAATACAAAAATTAGCCAGGCATGGAGGCAGGCGCCTATAATCCCAGCTACTCAGGAGGCTGAGGCACGAATTGCACCTGGGAGGCGGAGGTTGCAGTGAGCTGAGATCGAGCCACTGCACTCCAGCCTGGGAAACAGAGTGAGACTCCGTCTCAAAAAAACAAAAATCCGGTAGAGTTACAGTGAATATCACCTAACATTTTTTAATTTTTTTATTATACTTTAAGTTTTAGGGTACATGCGCACAACGTGTAGGTTTGTTACATATGTATACATGTGCCATGTTGGTGTGCTGCGCCCATTAACTCTTCATTTAACATTAGGTGTATCTCCTAATGCTATCCCTCCCCCCTCCCCCCACCCCACAACAGGCCCCGGTGTGTGATGTTCCCCTTCCTGTGTCCATGTGTTCTCAGTGTTCAATTCCCACCTATGAGTGAGAACATGCGGTGTTTGGTTTTTTGTCCTTGCGATAGTTTGCTGAGAATGATGGTTTCCAGCTTCATCCATGTCCCCACAAAGGATGTGAACTCATCCTTTTTTATGGCTGCGTAATATTCCATGGTGTATATGTGCCACATTTTCTTAATCCAGTCTATCATTGTAGGACATTTGGGTTGGTTCCAAGTCTTTGCTATTGTGAATAGTGCCGCAGTAAACATACATGTGCATGTGTCTTTATAGCAGCATGTTTTATAATCCTTTGGATATATACCCAGTAATGGGATGGCTGGGTCAAATGGTATTTCTAGTTCTAGATCCCTGAGGAATCGCCACACTGACTTCCACAATGGTGGAACTAGTTTACAGTCCCACCAACAGTGTAAAAGTGTTCCTATTTCTCCACAGCCTCTCCAGCACCTGTTGTTTCCTGACTTTTTAATGATCGCCATTCTAACTGGTATGAGATGGTATCTCATTGTGGCTTTGATTTGCATGTCTCTGATGGCCAGTGATGATGAGCATTTTTTCATGTGTCTTTTGGCTGCAGAAATGTCTTCTTTTGAGAAGTGTCTGTTCATGTCCTTTGCCCACTTTTTGATGGGGTTGTTTGTTTTTTTCTTGTACATTTGTTTGAGTTCATTGTAGATTCTGGATATTAGCCCTTTGTCAGATGAGTAGATTGGAAAAATTTTCTCCCATTCTGTAGGTTGCCTGTTCACTCTGATGGTAGTTTCTTTTGCTGTGCAGAAGCTCTTTAGTTTAATTAGATCCCGTTTGTCAATTTTGGCTTTTGTTGCCATTGCTTTTGGTGTTTTAGACATGAAGTCCTTGCCCATGCCTATGTCCTGAATGGTATTGCCTAGGTTTTCTTCTAGGATTTGTATGGTTTTAGGTCTAACTTTTAAGTCTTTAATCCATCTTGAATTAATTTTTGTATAAGGTGTAAGGAAGGGATCCAGTTTCAGCTTTCTACATATGGCTAGCCAGTTTTCCCAGCACCATTTATTAAATAGGGAATCCTTCCCCATTTCTTGTTTTTGTCAGGTTTGTCAAAGATCAGATAGTTGTAGATATGTGGCATTATTTCTGAGGCTTCTGTTCTGTTCCATTGGTCTATATCTCTGTTTTGGTACCAGTACCATGCTGTTTTGGTTACTGTAGCCTTGTAGTATAGTTTGAAGTCAGGTAGGGTGATGCCTCCAGCTTTGTTCTTTTGGCATGGGATTGTCTTGGCAATGGGGGCTCTTTTTTGGTTCCATATGAATTTTAAAGTAGTTTTTTCCAATTCTGTGAAGAAAGTCATTGGTAGCTTGATGGGGATGGCATTGAATCCATAAATTAGCTTGGGCAGTATGGCCATTTTCACAATATTGATTCTTCCTATCCATGAGCATGGAATGTTCTCCCATTTGTTTGTGTCCTCTTTTATTTCGTTGATTAGTGGTTTGTAGTTCTCCTTGAAGAGGTCCTTCACATCCCTTGTAAGTTGGATTCCTGGGTATTTTATTCTCTTTGTAGCAATTGTGAGTGGGAGTTCACTCATGATTTGGCTCTCTGTTTGTCTGTTATTGGTGTATAAGAATGCTTGTGATTTTTGCACATTGATTTTGTATCCTGAGACTTTGCTGAAGTTGCCTATCAGCTTAAGGAGATTTTGGGCTGAGACAATGGGGTTTTCTAGATATACAATCATGTCATCTGCAAACAGGGACAATTTGACTTCCTCTTTTCCTAATTGAATACCCTTTATTTCCTTCTCCTGCCTCATTGCCCTGGCCAGAACTTCCAACACTATGTTGAATAGGAGTGGTGAGAGAGGGCATCCCTGTCTTGTGCCAGTTTTCAAAGGGAATGCTTCCAGTTTTTGCCCATTCAGTGTGATATTGGCTGTGGGTTTGTCATAGATAGCTCTTATTATTTTGAGATACGTCCCATCAATAACTAATTTATTGAGAGTTTTTAGCATGAAGCGTTGTTGAATTTTGTCAAAGGCCTTTTCTGCATCTATCGAGATAATCATGTGGTTTTTGTCTTTGGTTCTGTTTATATGCTGGATTACGTTTATTGATTTGCATATGTTGAACCAGCCTTGCATCCCAGGGATGAAGCCCACTTGATCATGGTGGATAAGCTTTTTGATGTGCTGCTGGATTTGGGTTGCCAGTATTTTATTGAGGATTTTTGCATCGACGTTCATCAGGGATATTGGTCTAAAATTCTCTTTTTTGGTTGTGTCTCTGCCAGGCTTTGGTATCAGGATGATGCTGGCCTCATAAAATGAGTTAGGGAGGATTCCCTCTTTTTCTATTGATTGGAATAGTTTCAGAAGGAATGGTACCAGCTCCTCCTTGTACCTCTGGTAGAATTCGGCTGTGAATCTATCTGGTCTTGGACTTTTTTTGGTTGGTAGGCTATTAATTATTGCCTCAATTTCAGAGCCTGTTATTGGTCTATTCAGAGGTTCAACTTCTTCCTGGTTTAGTCTTGGGAGAATGTATGTGTCCAGGAATTTATCCATTTCTTCTAGATTTTCTAGTTTATTTGCGTAGAGGTGTTTATAGTATTCTCTGATGGTAGTTTGTATTTCTGTGGGATCGGTGGTGATATCCCTTTTATCATTTTTTATTGCGTCTACTTGATTCTTCTCTCTTTTCTTCTTTATTAGTCTTGCTAGCGGTCTATCAATTTTGTTGATCTTTTCAAAAAACCAGCTCCTGGATTCATTGATTTTTTGAAGGGTTTTTTGTGTCTCTATTTCCTTCAGTTCTGCTCTGATCTTAGTTATTTCTTGCCTTCTGCTAGCTTTTGAATGTGTTTGCTTTTGCTTCTCTAGTTCTTTTAATTGTGATGTTAGGGTGTCAATTTTAGATCTTTCCTGCTTTCTCTTGTAGGCATTTAGTGCTATAAATTTCCGTCTACACACTGCTTTGAATGTGTCCCAAAGATTCTGGTATGTTGTGTCTTTGTTCTCGTTGGTTTCAAAGAACATCTTTATTTCTGCCTTCATTTCGTTATGTACCCAGTAGTCATTCAGGAACAGGTTGTTCAGTTTCCATGTAGTTGAGTGGTTTTGAATGAATTTCTTAATCCTGAGTTGTAGTTTGATTGCACTGTCGTCTGAGAGACAGTTTGTTATAATTTCTGTTCTTTTACATTTGCTGAGGAGTGTTTTACTTCCAACTATGTGGTCAATTTTGGAATAGGTGTGGTGTGGTGCTGAAAAAAATGTATATTCTGTTGATTTGGGGTGGAGAGTTCTGTAGATGTCTATTAGGTCCGCTTGGTGCAGAGCTGAGTTCAGTTCCTGGATATCCTTGTTAACTTTCTGTCTCGTTGATCTGTCTAATGTTGATGGTGGGGTGTTAAAGTCTCCCATTATTACTGTGTGGGAGTCTAAGTCTCTTTGTAGGTCTCTAAGGACTTGCTTTATGAGTCTGGGTGCTCCTGTATTGGGTGCATATATATTTAGGATAGTTAGCTCTTCGTGTTGAATTGATCCCTTTACCATTATGTAATGGTCTTCTTTGTCTCTTTTGATCTTTGTTGGTTGAAAGTCTGTTTTATCAGAGACTAGGATTGCAACCCCTGCTTTTTTTTTGTTTTCCATTTGCTTGGTAGATCTTCCTCCATCCCTTTATTTTGAGCCTAAGTGTGTCTCTGCACATGAGATGGGTCTCCTGAATACAGCACACTGATGGGTCTTGACTATCCAGTTTGCCAGTCTGTGTCTTTTAATTGGAGCATTTAGTCTATTTACATTTAAGGTTAATATTGTTATGTGTGAATTTGATCCTGTCATTATGATGTTAGCTGGTTATTTTGCCCATTAATTCATGCAGTTTCTTCATAGCATTGCTGGTCTTTACAATTTGGCATGTTTTTGCAGTGGCTGGTACCGGTTGTTCCTTTCCACGTTTAGTGCTTCCTTCAGGAGCTCTTTTAGGGCAGGCCTGGTGGTGACAAAATCTCTCAGCATTTGCTTGTCTGTAAAGGATTTTATTTCTCCTTCACTTATGAAGCTTAGTTTGGCTGGATATGAAATTCTGGGATGAGAATTCTTTTCTTTAAGAATGTTGAACATTGGCCCCCACTCTCTTCTGACTTGTAGAGTTTGTGCCGAGAGATCAGCTGTTAGTCTGATGGGCTTCCCTTTGTGGGTAGCCCGACCTTTCTCTCTGGCTGCCCTTACATTTTTTCCTTCATTTCAACTTTGGTGAATCTGACAATTATGTGTCTTGGGGTTGCTCTTCTCAAGGAGTATCTTTGTGGCGTTCTCTGTAGTTCCTGAATATGAATATTGGCCTGCCTTGCTAGTTTGGGGAAGTTCTCCTGGATAATATCCTGCAGAGTGTTTTCCAACTTGGTTCCATTCTCCCCATCACTTTCAGGTACACCTATCAGACGTAGATTTGGTCTTTTCACATAGTCCCATATTTCTTGGAGGCTTTGTTCGTTTCTTTTTATTCTTTTTTCTCTAAACTTCTCTTCTTGCTTCATTTCATTCATTTCATCTTCCATCACTGATGCCCTTTCTTCCAGTTGATCGAATCGGCTACTGAGGCTTGTGCATTCGTCACGTGGGTCTCACGCCATGGTTTTCAGCTCCATCAGGTCCTTTAAGGACTTCTCTGCATTGGTTATTCTAGTTAGCCATTCGTGTAATTTTTTTCAAGGTTTTTAACTTCTTTGCCATGGGTTCGAACTTCCTCCTGTAGCTCGGAGTAGTTTGATCGTCTGAAGCTGTCTTCTCTCAACTCGTCAAAGTCATTCTCCGTCCAGCTTTGTTCCATTGCTGGTGAGGAGCTGCGTTCCTTTGGAGGAGGAGAGGCGCTCTGATTTTTAGAGTTTCCAGTTTTTCTGCTCTGTTTTTTCCCCATCTTTGTGGTTTTATCTACCTTTGGTCTTTGATGATAGTGACGTACAGATGGGGTTTTGGTGTGGATGTCCTTTCTGTTTGTTAGTTTTCCTTCTAACAGTCGGGACCCTCAGCTGCAGGTCTGTTGGATTTTGCTGGAGGTCCACTCCAGACGCTGTTTGCCTGGGTATCAGCAGCGGAGGTTGCAGAGCAGCGAATGTTGGTGAACAGCAAATGCTGCTGCCTGATCGTTCCTCTGGAAGTTTTGTCTCAGAGGAGTACCCAGCTGTGTGAGGTGTCAGTCTGCCTCTACTGGGGGATGCCTCCCAGTTAGGCTACTCGGGGGTCAGGGACCCACTTGAGGAGGCAGTCTGTCTGTTCTCAGACCTCCAGCTGCGTGCTGGGAGAACCACTACTCTCTTCAAACTATCAGACAGGGACATTTAAGTCTGCAGAGTTTTCTGCTGCCTTTTGTTTTGCTATGCCCTGCCCCCAGAGGTGGAGTCTACAGAGGCAGGCAGGCCTCCTTGAGCTGCAGTGGGCTCCACCCAGTTCGAGCTTCCAGGCTGCTTTGTTTACCTATCCAAGCCTCGGCAAGGGCGGGCGCCCCTCCCCCAGCCTTGCTGCTGCCTTGCAGTTTGATCTCAGCCTGTTGTGCTAGCAATGAGCAGGCTCTGTGGGCGTAGGACCCTCTGAGCCAGGCGCGGGATATAATCTCCTGGTGTGCCGTTTGCTAAGACCGTTGGAAAAGCGCAGTATTGGGGTGGGAGTGACCCGATTTTCCAGGTGCCGTCTGTCACCCCTTTCTTTGACTAGGAAAGGGAACTCCCTGACCCCTTGCGCTTCCTGGGTGAGGCGATGCCTCGCCCTGCTTTGGCTCACACTCGGTGTGCTGCAACCACTGTCCTGCACCCACGGTCCGACACTTCCCAGAGAGATGAACCTGGTACCTCAGTTGGAAATGCGGAAATCACCCGTCTTCTGCGTTGCTCACGCTGGGAGCTGTAGACTGGGGCTGTTCCTATTCGGCCATCTTGGCTCCACCCCCTCACCTAACATTTGTCAGGCACTACTGGTAAGCCAGGCAAGTTCTTCCTGACAGGTTCTTAACCTGCCCTAATAAACACCTAAGTTTGTTACCTCAATCATATACATATTGGGTATATGCCTGGTAGAATTGCTGAGTCATAGGATATGCATATTCGGTTTAGTAAATACTGCCAGTTTTTGAAAGTGATTGTACTAGTTTTACATTCCCAGCAATAGTTGTATAAGATTTCCCTTGTTTTGCATTTTTACCAATACTTAAAGTGGCCTGCCTTGAGTTGTTGATACTTGTGTCATTTTTGACATCTGTCATCCAGACTCAACCTCCTAGGGAGCTTGACCCTTCCCTTTTTTCAGTTTTCTCTCTAGCCTAGGTTCAGTCAGCAAGACCTATCAGATTTTTCTTTTATATTGCCTTTGTCCTTCCTCCATTGCCACAGCTCAAATATTAGTCATATATGGAGTAAATATCAGGTGATTTGGATATCAGGATTATGACAGTAGTCTGCCAGTTGGTGCATCTTCTAGTATTTCTGCTTTTCCAATAAATCCTGCACAGCCAAGAAAATGCTTCATGAAACACCGCACCATTGCTCTGCTCAAAAGCCGTCAACAACCCTTCATTGCCCATTGGATATCAGCCTTCCTCCCCCTCTTCCTTTTCCACCTGTACCTCTCTTCCTTCCTCCCTTCTTCCGTTCTTTTTTTTTAATTAAAGTGTAATATATATGAAGTGCACTATGACAGAGATTAAAGTATAGAGCATTACCAACACCCAGAAGCCTCCAGTTTGCCTCTTCCTAGTCTTCTCTTAAGTCTTCTCTTAAGGTACCCACTATTCTGATTTCTGTCACCATACATAGGTTTTACCTGATTTTGAACTTTATATAAATGTTAAAAAGCTAATTTATAGCTTAAAAAGTACAAACTCTTATGTCTGGCTTCTTTTGCTGAATGTTCTGACTGTGAGATTCACCTACACTCTGCTTATAGTGCTCATTTTTTTTATTGCTGAATAGCAATTCTATTTTATGAGTATACTACATTTATTTACCCATTCTACTGTGATGACATTTGGGTTATTGGGGTTATTTCACTTTGGGACAATTATGAATGCTGCTGCTGTTAACATTTTGGGTGTTTCTGTCCTTTGATATAAAAATATACACTTATATATTGGGTATATGCCTAGTAGAATTGTTGGTTCATAGGATATGCATGTTAGGTTTAGTAAATTCTGGCAGTTTTTGAAAGTGATTGTACCAGTTTTACATTCCCAGCAATAGTGTTAAATTCCATTGTCCTGCATTTTTACCAATACTTGCTATTGTCAGTTTTAAAAATTTGTCATTCTGGTGGGAGTGTAATAATATGTCATTTTGGATTGAATTTGCATTTGCTTCATAACCAGTGATGGTGAATCCCTGTATTGAACATTTGAAAATCTTCTGTTGCAAAGTGTGCTTTATTCAAGGCCTTTGTGAAATTTTTATTAGGTTGTCCATCTATTAAATTGTAGAAATCTTTACATATTTTGAGTGAGTTCTTTTTTGGGTATCTGTATTAGAGTCTTCCTTAGACTGTGGCTTGTATTTTCACTCTCTAATGGTGTCTTGTGATGAAAATCTTTGTTTTAATGAAGTTTGATTTAGTAATTAAACTTTATTCTTATTGCCCTTGTTTCTTGTTTAATAAATCTTTGTCTAACTTAAGATCATGCTGATCTTTTCCAGGTATTTTATTTTTTTTATTTTTTTTGTTTTTGAGACAGAGTCTCACTTTGTTGCCCAGGCAGGAGTGCAGTGGCACGATCCGGCACCCTCCACCTCCTGGGTTCAAGAGATTCTTCTGCCTCAGCCTCCCGAGTAGCTGGGATTACAGGCATGCGCCCAGCTAATTTTTGTATTTTTAGTAGAGACGGGGTTTCTCTATTGTTGGCCAGGCTAGTCTCGAACTCCTGACCTCAGGTTATCCACCCGCCTCAGCCTCCCAAAGTGCTGGGATTACAGGCGTGAGCCGCCGTGCCTGGCCAGGTAATAAAAGAGCCACCTGGCTCTTTTATTTATAGTTTGTGAAGAGTTTTAATCATGATATTATGATATTAAATTTTCTCAAATATTTTTACTGCATATATTAAGGGAATCATATGTTTTCTCCCTTATTTTATTAATTTGTGGTATATATTGATTGCTGTTTAAATGATAAATTGCCCTCACATTCTCATAGTAAACCTAATTTGGTTTGATGTATCATCTTTTTAATATAATGCTAAATCTGACTTGCTGATATTAGTTATTAGAACTTTTGCATCTAAATTCATGAGAGAGACTGCCCTATTATTTTTTTGTGGTAACTTTGTCAGGTTTTGGCATCAAGTTTTATGTTGCTCTCAGAAAGCAGGTTGAGACATTTTCCTTTTTTTTTTTTCTATTCTTTGAAAGACTTTAGATAAAATTGGTGTTATTTTTTCTTACATTTTGATGAGGAATTCCCCGGTGAAGCTCTTTGGGCCTTCTCTGTGGGAAGGTTTTAATTTCCGATCCAATTTCTTTGATCAGCATAAGCTGTTCAGATTTCCTGTTTTTTCTTGGGTCACTTTTGGTATGTTGCATTTTGCAGTTTGTTCATTTTATGTAAACTCTCACATTTAAAGTTTGAAATTTTTTTAAAACAACCTACTGTCTTGTGACTAGGATGGATCAGTGATGATGTCTCATTTTTTATTCTGATATTGGTCATTTGTGCTTGCTTTCACTCCATTTCTGTCTCCTCGATCAGTCTTGGTGTGTTTTATCACTTTTGTGCCTTTTTTCAAAGAACCAACTTTTGGCTTTGCTGATTTTCTCTCGTTCATTTGTTTTGTATTTTCATTGATTTCTGCTCATTATTATTTTCTTCCATTACTCTCTGAATTTTAGTTGTTCCTTTAGCTTCTTGAGATGAATACTTTATTGATATTTTTTAGTCTTCTTTTCTCTTAAATACATTTAAAGTTAAAAATTTTCCCTCTAACCACAGGTTTAAATGTGTCCCACAAGTTTTTCTTTTTCTTTTTCTTTTTTTGTTTGTATTTTTTCTTTTTTGTTTTTTGTATTGTTTTTTCCTTTTATACCCCACAAGTTTTGATATATTTTCATTATCATTTCAATTCAAATATTGTTAATTTCCATTGTGTTATCTTCTTTGGCCCGTGGGTTTGTTTTATAAGTGTACCAATTAATTTCCAAAAATTTGAGTATTTGGTTTTTTTTTTAAGTTACTAATTTATAGCTTAATTCCATATGGTCAGTGAATGACTCAGCATGTGGTCAGTTTTTGTAAATATTCCATGTGCATTAAATGTGGACTTTGCATTTGTTGGCTCTTATATTCTACATATATCAAATAGGCCTAGTGTGTTCATCATGTTGTTTAAATATCTTACATCCTTAGCTGAGTGTGGTGGCACATACCTGTAATCCCAGCTAGTTGGGAGGCTGAGGCAGGAGAATCACTTGAACCTGGGAGGCGGGGGTTACAGTGAGCCGAGATCATGTCACTCTACTCCAGCCTGGGCAACAGAGTGAAACTATGTCTCAAAAAAAAAAAAAAACTTACATTCTTATTGATTTACTTGTCTACTTGTTTTATTACTGAAATAGATTTTTTAAAATCTCCCACTGTGATTGTAGATGAATTTTTCCCCTTTTATTCTATGTTTCTATATATATTGGGTGGCAACAAATTTAGGACTACTGTATCTTCCTGATTTAGTTGACTTTTTTTTATTATGAAATATTCCTTTTAATTTTAATTAAACTTCTTGCCTTAAAATCTATTTTGATATTGGCCGGGTGTGGTGGCTCACGCCTGTAATCCCAGCCGTTTGTGAGACTAGGGTGAGAGGATCTCTTGAGCCTAGGAGTTTGAGATCAGCCTGGGCAGCATAGTGAGAGCCCCTCATCTTTAAAACAAAATTAAAAATTAAAAAAAAGTTTACTTTGATGAATCCTAGTACAATAGTAACTTTTTTGGTTAACGTTTGCAGGTTAAGGTTTTTTTTTTTTTTTTTTTTGAGATGGAGTTTTGCTCTTGTCGCCCAGGCTGGAGTGCAATGGTGCCATCTTGGCTCACTGGAACCTCTGCCTCCCGGGTTCAAGCAATTCTCGTGCCTCAGCCTCCCAAGTAGCTGGGACTAGAGGTGCTCGCCACCATGCTCAGCTAATTTTTGTATTTTTAGTAGAGGTGGGGTTTCACCACGTTGGCCAGGCTGGTCTCGAACTCCTGACCTCAGGTGATCTGCCCACCTCGGCCTCCCACAGTGCTGGGATTACAGGTGTGAACCACCGCACCCGGCCTGCAGGGTAAGTTTTTTCTGTCTTTCTGCTTCCAATCTTTAAATGACCTTACGTTTAAGGTATTCTTCTTGTAAATAGCATAGAGCTAGATATTTTTAATCCATCTTGACAATTGTTGTCTATTGTTATTATTTATTATTGTTATTTTTTTTTTGAGACAGAGTCTCACTCTGTCGCCCAGGCTGGAGTGCAGTGGCGAGATCTCAGCTCACTGCAATTTCTGCCTCCTGGCTTCAAGTGATTCTCATGCCTCAGCGTCCCAAGTAGGTGGGATTACAGACGTGCACCACCACGCCTGGCTAATTTTTGTATTTTTAGTAGAGACAAGGGTTTCACCATGTTGGCCAGGCTGGTCTTGAACTCCTGGCCTCAAGTGATCTGCCGGTCCTGGCCTGCCAAAGTGCTGGGATTATAGGTGTGAGCCACTATGCCTGGCCAATGTTTGTCTTTTAATTGGAGTATTTAGTCCATGAACTTTTTTTTTTTTTTTTTGAGACGGAGCCTCGCTCTGTCACCCAGGCTGGAGTGCAGTGGCACTATCTCAGCTCACTGCAACCTCCGCCTCCTGATTCAAGCGATTCTCCTGCCTCAGCCTCCTGAGTAGCTGGGATTACAGATGCCCGCCACCACACCCAGCTAATTTTTTGTTTTTTGTTTTTTGTTTTTTTTTTTGAGACGGAGTCTCGCTCTGTCGCCCAGGCTGGAGTGCAGTGGTGCGGTCTCGGCTCACTGCAAGTTCCACCTCCTGGGTTCATGCCATTCTCCTGCCTCAGCCTCCCGAGTAGCTGGGACTACAGGCGCCCGCCACCACGCCCAGCTAGTTTTTTGTATTTTTAGTAGAGACGGGGTTTTACCACGTTAGCCAGGATGGTCTTGATCTCCTGACCTCGTGATCCACCTGCCTCGGCCTCCTAAAATGCTGGGATTACAGGCGTGAGCCACTGCGCCCGGCCAATTTTTTTGTATTTTTAGTAGAGACGGGGTTTCACCATGTTGGCCAGTCTGGTCTTGAACTCCTGACCTCATGATCTGCCCGCTTTGGCCTCCCAAAGTGCTGGAATTACAGGTGTGAGCCACCGCGCCTGGCAAGTCCATGAACTTTTAATGTGATTACTGATCTATTTGGATCTCAATCTACCATAGTATTTTATTGTCTTATTTGTCACGTATAGTCAACATTCCTTTAGTGTTAGACACATATTTACCCTTTTCAGTGCTCTTCATTTTCACATTTCCATCTGCGATTATTTTCTTTCAGTTAAGTAGCTCCTTTTGGTACTTCTTTTGGTATCGCTGGCAGTAAAATCTCCATATTTGTTTGACTGAAGACATCTTTATTTCACTATGTTTTTTATTTTTTAAGAGTATATTTGGTGAGTATATAATTAGATATTAGAATTTATTTTCTTTCAAACTTTATATCATTCTGTTGTCTTCTAGGGCCATAGTATCTTGTCAGGTGTGAAGTTTTGGCCTTATTAGTCAGGTGTTAATCTTATGTTTGTGAATATAATATGTCTTTTTCTTCGGGCTTAAGATTTTCTTTGTCTTTGGTTTTTAGCAATTTTAGATCAATGTGGCTAAGCATGATTTTTTTTTTTATCCTGTTTGGTGCTTGTAAAGCTTCTTTAATTGATGTTTTTCATCTGTTTTACAACATTGGCCAATATCTCTTTAAATAGTGCATCTTCTCAGTTTTTCTCTATTTCTGGGGCTCCCATGTATGGGTGTTTTTGTTTTTGTTTTCTGTGACCTATGTCTTAGTAATTTTCTAATCTTATTTTTTTCTCTGTACTTTAATCTGGATATGGAAAATATGCCTACTTTCCACTCCACGTAAGATCTTATTTGTCTAGTTGGCTTTTAAATCTATTAAAATTCTAATTTGAGTTACTGTATTTTTTTGGTTCTAAGATTTCCGTCTCATTCTTTTCTGTATAGATTCCAGCTCTTTGGTCTGGGTTTCCATCTTTTAGCCTGTTTTAATGGCCATGCCCCATTATTGAAATAGCTGAATCCCTTGGCATCTGTTCTGTTGTCTTCTTTTTCCTCTTGGCTTTCAGTCATCTGTTTCTCTTTCCTGGTATGCCTGTAGTTTTTTTTTTTTTTTTTTTTTTAATTCAATGATGAGTATTGTGTATGAAAAAATATACGGAGGTCAGGTGCTGTGGCTCACGCCTGTAATCCCAGCACTTTGGGAGGCCAAGGCGGGTGGATCATCTAACGTCAGGAGTTCAAGACCAGCCTGGCCAACATGGTGAAACCCTGTCTCTACTAAAAATACAAAAATTAGCGAGGCGTGGTGGCGCACACCTGTAATCCCAGCTACTCGGGAGGCTGAGGGAGGAGAATGGCTTGAACCCGGGAGGCGGAGGTTGCAGTGAGCCGAGATTGTGCCATTGCACTCCAGCCTGGGTAACAGCAAAACTCTGTCTGGAAAAAAGAAAGAAAGAAGGAAAAATATATGGGTTCTGAGTATGTTATCTTCCTCCAGAGGAAATTTTAGTGTTTTTCTGGCAAGTAGATCGTGTATGGGCACATCACCTTTATTCAGTTGAGGTGGTCTATTTCCGGTTTCCCTTACTCCTAGGGCTTAGCTTTTTTTAGGACCTTCAGTTGAAAGTTTGGGAGTGTGTTGGAGATGGGTCTATTAAGGCTCCTGTTCCCTGGCAGGCCCTGAAATCCACATTTTGTTCTAGCAAAATCTCTGCTTGGCTTTTTCCCCTTTAGCAGCTTCTTTCCGTTTGGTTTCTCAGTCCCCAGTCACACCTGTGCAGCTTAGGAATTAGCAAATGCCGGGAGGGAAGATTGCAAGCAGAACGTTGAGTTCCTGTTTCTATGGAATCTTGGCCCGTAGAAAGTCTGCTTTGATACCATTAATGTCCAGTGTTTGTTCCGGATGAGACTGCTGCGGAGTCTAGTTTATGCCTTTCTATGTGGCCCAGTGTGCCTTGCATATGAATAAGGAAATGCTCTGAGGCCAGAGGCTGCAGGGAAGCCAGCTCAGAGCATTTGTCAGTACTCTCCAATCCTGGCTATTTGGATCCTTCTGGAATGCCTTCAAACCATTTGCTCTCTTTGCTTGCTTGTTTCTTTTTGGTATTTTATCCAGCTTGCATAGTTGTTCTCAGAGGGCGGGTCAGCCTGGTACCTTCTGCTGGGCCATAGCTAGCAGCGTAAGCCTTGGAGCCCTGGCACTTGAAACCCCACACTGTCCAAGCACAACTTACCCAGCCTTGCCTCTTCACAGCCACCTGTTGTGTCCACCCTGTGCTTAGCCTAGACTTTCCACACAACCTTTTCTTGCTGCTCTCTCAGTCCTGTCCATTCCCATCAAAAATCGAATTGTTCTTCAGACCTGTACAGTCTCCACTTCTGATTCCTGGCATTGTGACCCATGAGATTCTTCCTCTGCAGTGAATTCATAGCAATAACTGACCGGCCACTGTAGCATTTCTTGATGTATTATATCATGTGCCTTGTATTTAGCTTTCATCCAGTTGGGGGAGGGCGGGGATGTTGTAGTGTACCTCTTTGTACCAAGATTGATTTGCTGCATATCTTGCAGGTGAAAGCATGTATTGCCAATGTAGAACCCAACCAAACAGTGGAGATCAATGAGCAAGAAGCATTGGAAGAGAAATTGGAAAATGTGAAAGCCATTCTGCAGGCATATCATTTTACAGGTTTTGTTTGTTTTTTTAACCTAATTTAGTCTGGGTCTGCCTCTAGTGAGTTAGTTTGCTAGATGTGTTATCAGTCCTGGAATTATTTCATAATTTATAGTATTTTACACCCTCTGCCCTCATCACTCACACACACACACACACACAGACACACACACAGCTGACGTGCTATTTGTAGGCCTATCTTCACCTACAAGATTGACTGGCCCCTTTGTACAGCAGCTCAGTTGGTGGCTGGCTTATTCCACTCATCTTAACAGTTCGTCATGTGCCAGACCTTGTACTAGAACTGTCTTTACTGCTGGCTTGTTTTCTGCCACTAGTGAAATAGTTTGAACTTTCCAAGTCTCCGTTTCACCGTAAATAGGGATTTATTCTCCCATCTATGCCACAAGATAGTTGTGGGAAGAACTGGGGACTCTGACAAATTACTTCACACTCAGAAATAAAGAATAGCTATAAATTAAATTTTTGGCCTTGCTTATGCCTGTAATCCCATCACTTTGGGAGGCTGAGGCAGGATTACTTGAGTCCAGGAGTTCGAGACCAGCCTGGGCAACATAGCAAGACCTCATCTCTACTAAAAATTTAAAAATGAGCCAGGTGAGGTGGCATGCGCTTGTGGTCCCAGCTGTTTGGGAGGCTGAGATGGGAGGATCATTTAAGCCCAGGAAGTTGAGGTTGCAGTGAGCTGAGATCGTGCCACCGCACTCCAGCCTGGGTGACAGAGTGAAACCCTATCTCAAAAAAAAAAAAAAAAAAATTTCTCAATAGTTTGACATTTAGGTTGTTTTTTCATTTTTACCATTCTTCCATGGTTTTAACAACTCAGTCTCAAAGTGAGCCGGAGCCAAGGGGAAGAATGAGCCTATGATACTCATTGAACAAACATTTGTGTACAAAGTGTACATATTCTAGGCACTGTGGAAGCTACTGGAGGCACAGATGAGTAAGACATCACCTTGGCCTGCTGTCTATTGAGGTGTCTTCTTGTTTGCCTCAGGCCTCAGTGGTAAACTGACCAGCCGAGGAGTTTGTGTCTGCATCAGTACTGCTTTTGAGGGGAACCTATTGGATTCCTATTTTGTGGACCTTGTCATACAGAAACCACTCCGGATACATCACCATTCAGTCCCAGTCTTCATTCCCCTGGAAGAGATAGCTGCAAAATATTTACAGACCAACATCCAGCACTTCCTGTTCAGTCTCTGCGAGTACCTGAATGCTTACTCTGGGAGGAAGTACCAGGCAGACCGGCTTCAGGTATCTCTCTGGGATGTTATATGCCTCATCCGTGGGCCCAAGATCAACTTAAAAGGGGGATGTTTTTTGTATTTTCAGTGTTTCCTAACTGTGAGTTAGAAGTTTGACCGTTACCTTTCCGATGCTTGTTTCTTATTTATATAAAAGCACTATCCCACCCTCTTTTCTTTTGAAACTCTGGATGGCGTTGAAGCCTGGGTACTGGTTAAAGGATTATGCACCCCTGAATGGTGGTCTTCAAGCTTTTATCGTAAGATTGTACAGAGTGCAGTTGCTATACTTTTGATCCATCAGGGATTTATGGCGTGCCTACTATGTACCATACCGAGTGCCTTGCTGAACCTTGGGTATAGATCTCATTAGAGAAGAAAGGTTTCTGCAGTGCCATGGAACAATGCTGTCCATCTTCCCCTAAACTCTAGCCTACCTTTTTGGGTTGCAGTTGAGCTAAGGTTGGGTGAAAAAAGTAGATAGGAAATTAATGCAAATAGGCTGTAAGTGCCTCCTACAAGCTTAGCATTTCCCCCTCTATGGATTTGGAGTAACTCTGAAGCTCTCAGCTGTAGATTTAACTTAAATTGAAATGTGGATGCAGTCATGAAGCATCTTAGCCGTGTAACGTCAGTGAAGTTTCTGCAGAAACAGTCTCTTGCGAAGCTGTACCCCTGGCCATTTAGGCCTATAGGCCTTTCCAGGCTGCCAGTGACTCTTAGTTATCTTAGGCATCTTTTTCATTAGTCCTTTTTTCAGACCTTTTTCTGTCCCTCATTTATTTCTCTGAAATGTAATCGATGGGCCTCTTTTTGGTTGACGTAATTGAAGGGTCAGTAAACACCACCTTTGGAACTGCAGTCATCCTCTACTTCGTTTTGTTCCTCACCCCTCTTAGAGTGACTTTGCAGCCCTCCTGACTGGGCCCTTGCAGAGAAACCCACTGTGTAACTTGCTGTCATTTACTTACAAACTGGATCCAGGGGGTCAGTCCTTCCCGTTCTGTGCTAGATTGCTGTATAAGGACCTCACAGCAACTCTTCCCACTGACGTCACCGTGACATGTCAAGGTAAGAAGGGTGCCTCAGTGCAGAAATTCTCATATCCCAGTTTATTTGAGTGAAACAGGGAAAATAGGTAGAATCCATGAAGTAGACCTCTTGAGACACTTTCTCTGTTTATATACTGTACATTACTCAGACCGGTAAGATAGAACATTCTTGTTTCTACCAGTCTTTTCCTTCCTCTTTGTAAATGGTAAACATGATTGTCCCCATTTTCCCTTCTCCTTTGCCCACCCACCTCAGCAGTGTTCTCGCAGCCTATGATTTGTTTTCACTGGGGGCCCTGCTTCAGGAAAGACACCTAATGATAAGGCTGAGTCATGGGTCAGTTATGGTGGATGGAGCCAGAAGACTCATTTCACTGTGAAGACAAATGGACATGACACGTCAGCACACACTTACTCCTCCCTACGGAGCAGTCTCTAAATGGAAATCCTTCCAGACTGGCTGAGAGAGAGATTTTTTGGTGAACCTGTTTCAGTTAAATGTGACATGGGCAATAATGAAAAATTGGGTGAAATGTTTTTAGGAGGCAGAAATTTTGAAGCTGCCCCAGATTTCACACCATCGGTCTTTGATTTCTCTGCGCAGTTAGATTCCAGTCCCCAGTCTCTAGATTGCATTGGTCCAGTAAGGGGCAGCCTTAGTCCAGACCAAAAAAAAAAGCTGTATGGGTCCAGTGGGTCCAGAATATCAGTGATCCAGGTTCCGATTCCCCCAGCTGCACTGAGTGAGATTGAATGTCAGTGATCCAGGCTCCGATTCCCCCAGCTGCACTGAATGAGATTGAATATCAGTGATCCAGGCTCCGATTCCCCCAGCTGCACTGAATGAGATTGATGGAATCTTTCTTTTTAGGAGTGGAAGTATTATCCACTTCATGGGAGGAGCAACGAGCATCTCATGAAACTCTGTTCTGTACGAAGCCCTTGCATCAAGTGTTTGCCTCATTTACAAGAAAAGGAGAAAAGTTGGATATGAGTCTGGTCTCCTAATAGATTGTTTTCACTGCACTGGGAGCACATCAGAGGTAAGTAACCAGTACTGAAGACAGTACCAGGTGGGTAGTACTGTCTGATGAAGGGTACATCACCCTTCTGATGAAAACAGACACCTACCTGTTCATCTGGATGGAAGAGCAGGTTTGAGTATAGACACTGGCATTTTTGAACAATTCCCATGATCACCTGGTCCCTTCTTAAAATGCTCAAGATGTTTTTTAAAGGTATTAGTTGATCATACATTTTAGTTGAAAATCATTTGTGGGGCAATAAAAGCCATTTTTTGAAAAAGGTGTATCACTCAAGAAGTACTTATGGAAAAATATCAAATTATTGAGGGCATTAACTCTGGGAAAGACCAGGCAATTAAGTTGTCACAGTAACTGCTACTAATTTAATGCCAGGAATAGAGATGCCAAAAATCCTAAAATTTTCAGAAAGGGCTCTCACAGAAATGTAGCACTCCACTCAAACTGCAATAGCTTGATTCTGTTGAGAAACACTGATCTAAATAAATGGAAAAATAACCCACATTCACTAATGAAGATAATAAGGAAGACCCAATATTTTTTTTTTTTTAAAAGGAAAGTATTTTTAGCTTTTATGAAAGCTTTAAGTAATTTTTCCTCATTTTCCTGTTTGAAACTTTTGAAAAGGAAGTTCTTCAGTGTTTGTTTGGTTAGGCGCAGTGTATTCTAGGCCACTGCTTTATAAATATGGTGTGAGAAAGCAGTAGGATAAAATAATCAGAGTTCAGTGTGTCTCATATTTTGTTTCCTAAAAGTTTAGTAGAGCTGTGAATGTACTAGGAAGTCCCCTCTGAAAAAGCACAGTTAGTTAGTTAGAAATCTGCCCATTAACTCAGGGGGACTCAGGCGCCCCCCGGGTCTTCCCTCTCCTGCAGGCTCTCCGGTTAGTGTCCTGATTTGCCGTAACCACGGGCCTCTGACCTGCTGGCACCTCTGGTTCCTTGGCGTGTGGGTCACTCACAGATATGAAAACCTGTGTCTGGCTGACCAGGTTCTCCTGTAGCCCTCCCTTGCCCAGGCACAGATAGGAGTCATGACTGGCCCAAGGCCACGTTCAGACTTAACCCTGCAATGGCCACGAAGTAACCTCCGTGTGGGAGAGCTCCAGGAACAGTGCAGGGGATTAAAGCCAGCTTGGAGTACCCTTTAGAAGAAAGTTTAAGAATAAAAGAGACAGGGCCAGGCAGCAGGCGTTCCGGGGTACAGTGAGCTATGATGAGACCTTCAAGCTCTTGCCTTCCAGGCCTGTGGTGGGGACCAGTGGCATGAGTCAGCAAAGTACCAGCACTCCTCAGATAAGTGATATTAACAGAATTTCCACAATCACTTTCAAGTTGAATAAAGCTTTTAATAAAACAGTCTTGTTCTTTATCAATACCTGTAAATTCTCTTAAAGCAGTAGCAAAGGCGACTGTAGCAAGAGCTCAAAAGGCAAGGCAATATCGGAAAGTGTATTTAACAGAAGATTAAAAATATAAATGTAGAAGATCTGTTTATATATTTTTCTTTCAGAAATAAATCCCCCCTCCCCTGCCAGGTGAAAGGAAATATTGCACTTTCTGTTCTCATGACTAAGGGGACAGGAGTTCCAGAAGAACCTTTCAAGATGATCAGGAACACCAGGACGAGGGCCGTCTCACCTCACTCGGACCACATGGAGACCTCCCTTCAAAATGGGAGCCATGTCCTGCCCCACCAAGCCCTGTCTGAAGTGGAGCTTCCCCGCCTGTGCTCCCTCCACAGTCCCGGAAAGCCCAGCGGCAAAGGCAGCTTTGTCCCAGCTCTGCCACCCTCCTGCTCACAGTGGTCAGGGCCCCTCAGGGGCAAGGACGGCAGGGATTGGAACGAGGGCTCTGGAAGGACTGTTCAGCCCTATGCCTAAGACCCCTATGCTGGGGACACTACAGGCACACACAGGAATAGCAGGGCCACCCTCAGAGCTCACACATCCACGAACAAATGAAGGCTGAGGAGGTTTCTAAACCTAAAGTCCATGAGTGTGCACTTCAATCCAGGAAGGTCGGGACTTCCTTCAGTTTCAAAAAATAAATTCTCCCTTCCGGTTTGGACTGTTGCAGGCTCGAGGCCATTCAGGAGTTGTCCACCACCTGGTGGGGCAGTGTGACAGAGGGGCCATTGGGGAAGGTGGCTAGCTTATCCCGCCCCTTCAAGAAGAAGGTCAGCAGCTCCCCCTTCCCCTTCACAAAGATGGGGCCTCGCCTCACAAAGCGGAAGCCGTACTCTCGGAGGATGACTTGGGTTTCTTCTACCACCTGGAGAGGGAGGGGGAGCAAGAACGTGGCGTTACGGGGGGAGCCTAGACTGAGGGCGGGTGGGGGCTTTGGGTGGTTGGAGCCGAGCACTGATCCATGGGTCCCAAGCAGTACGGGACACTCCCCAAACCTCCCAGGGCCAAGCCCTTCCACCCGTGGCGAGCAGCGGGTGGGAAGGAGAACCCTGGAGTGACTGGCTGGGGGCCTCCTCTCATCCAGAGACTTCTCTCCTAGGATGGCCATGGTCACCTGGGTGGCAGCACTGTTACCTGGAAACTGCCACTGCCTGCTCTTCTGTCCCTTTGCCCCTTTCGTGGAGCTTTTCTGCCAGACGCCACTGAGACAGATCACAAGGTATTAGAAGGTTCATACCCAAAGGTAGGCCATATGCATCTAGAACTTCAGCCCAGATTTTGTGGATGGGTGGAAGTGTTTCTTCCTGTGCTGAGGCTAGCTATTGCAGAGATTCTTTTCCACTTGCCCCACGTCTCTGCCTCTGGACTTACTGTTCAGGGCCAGGGTGGGAGGCAGGGGCACGTGGGAAAGCACTGTTCCGGTTTTGTTCTCATGCCGAGTCTGAGCACGTGCCAGCTGTGCCACTGGACATACCTGAATGTTGCCCATGACCCCCGTGGACTCCATCCTGCTGGCTACATTGACTGTATTGCCCCAGATGTCGTAGTGTGGTTTCCGGGCTCCGATGACCCCAGCCAGAACCCCGCCTTTGTTCATGCCTAGGGTAGAGGCATAAAGTTCAGCACAGCCACAGGCCACACCTTGTTATGGGCCTCAGAAGCCATCTCCTCTCCAGACCTGTACCACAAAGCTCCTAATGTAACACATCATTGTCCTCATTCAACTTGGCTGTATGCTATTGGAGGGTGGAAATCACATCTCCTGTTTATCCGTGTGCTTGTTAGGTGTCAGCCGCCACCCCCCCCCCATATGCAGATTTACTCGGCATGGTAGTGGCCAGCTTCTAACACAGCTGGTATTTCAAGTCTCCTGGGACCTCACTCAGGAATGATACCCCCTCAGTAGAAGCAGCAGGTGATCTTAACTCCTTTCAAAGAGCAGGCCTGTCTGGGAAGCCATGTCCTCAGCAGGCACAGCAACCCCTCTGGAAATGGATCACAAACTCACTTCTCAGCCAGGCAGGCCAAGCTTCTATTGTAACAGTAGGCACAGTATAGTCGGATCATCACATCAGCTGGGTTTTTGGTTTAGTCATCTAGAGTCGTCTGGACTAAAGGTCTTTCAGGTCTCCTTGCCCTGTGAGTGCGTGAACCTCCCCACCCGAATTGCCTCAGTTGTCCTGAGCCTCATGTCTCTCCTGGTGGTGGGCCAGGCCCCTGCATGGGAAGGGAGCCTGCTGCGGGGCAGGCCAGCTGGGGGTGCTCACCTATGCGCAGCATGAAGTTATTGAAGGACTGGTTGTTGATGTTGGTGAGCGTATCCTTCATGGCCAGCGCGAAGTCGGCCAGGTCAGCCAGGTGCTGCCAGCGCTCTCTCTCGGACTTGTCTTCCTGTGCCAGGGGACCGTGGAGAAAGTGTCAGGGGCCGCTCACTGCAGCAGCCTGCTCTGCTGCCTTCCCTGGCAGTGTTCTGGGGGTGGATTCCCTACACCTAGATGTTCAAGGCCTTACTTTTCCTCCCACAAAGGAGTCGCAGCCACGCTAGCTCTGACTTGCCACTGTGACAAAGTTCACGTAGCAGGTCTAGGCAAAGACTGGGCAATTGAGCAGAGGAGACGGACCTGTGAGTCTGACCACGAGGCGGACCCCTTCACCTTGGCTGGGCCTGGTCCTGGTCCTTAGGTTTTGTCAGGTTGTCCTTGTTTGGATCCCTCAACTAGGTGATAAGCACTGGAGGGGGATGACCCGCCTTGGACGTGTTTCTTTAACCTCATCCATATAATAGGGCCGTGGGATGGTTGTAGAGGTAAAGCAGGATGATGGTGTTTTAAGACCAGAGCTTGGGACCAGGGCTCCTACACCTAATTTTCTCTCCTGGTAGCTGAACAAAGGTCTAAATTAGCTTAACAAAAGAACAGGCTGCCGTCAGCCAGAGTTCTGAAGGCCATGCTTTCAGTTTCCCTTGTTGACAATTGCTCTCCAGTTCCTATGAAAGCACAGAGCCTTAGGGGGCCTGGCCACAGAACACAACCATCTTAGGCCTGAGCTGTGAACAGCAGGGGGTTGTGTGTCTGTTCTGTTTCTCTGCTTGCCGAACTTTCTCAATAAACCCTATTTCTTATTTATATTTACGTGGTGCTGGTGGTGTGTGTCTGGGACCACTTTGCACAGCAGTTCTTATTTCCCCCATGCTAGGTCTGGGCTGCCAATCTCTTGCCTTGGGGGCAGAGCCTCATCTCTCTGGCTACTGGGGTTAGCTACCTTGTTGGAGCTGGCAAAGCCATTGGTGTTGACATCGGGGGTGACTCCTGAAGCCGCCATATACGTGCTGCCAATGGTTTTGATCTTGGTGATCACCCGGAACTTGGGATTGTCCAGGAGCTGAGGCCAGGATTCAGGAAAGAATTGTCAGCAGTCAAGGGAGAGGAATGACCCAACCCAGTGACAGATGTACCTGTTTACAAGGACCCCACTAAACCCAAGAGACACTTTCCTATCAAAGTTGTTACTTAGTCTACCGCTTATCTGCCACATGATCCTGGGAGAACTTCCTAACTTTCTGGGCCTGTTTCCACAACCTCAACACTGACATAAAATCGGCAGTCTCCTAGGGGGGCTCCGCGCGTGTGTAAAAGCATTCTCCCTGGTATACAGGTCACCCAGTCAATGCTGACCGGCTCTGAATTTGAGGAGACAGTCCCAGGACAGAGAGGTCTCGAGATGTTGCTTGGCCAGTCCTTATCCTTATCCTGTGACCCTGTGGGTGATTTCCCGGGCTCCCACCTCACCTCCCCTTCCCCAGCCCAGCAGTTCCAGGTGGCTGCAGAAGTCCATGTATTGCGGAAGGGGCTTATCTGGGAAAATGAAGCCAGTTTCTCTGGCCTCTGCAGCCTATTGTAGGATGTGATGTGGAATGGGCCGGCTTCATGGCCAGAGTGCAGGGTGGGATGGGCACTCACAGAGTCAAAATCTGAGATGATTTCATTGAGGAAACGCAGACACTCAATACCACCATTGTTGATGCTCTCCTCTGTGTAGAAGTCAGCAAAGTTGGGCAGGGAGGCAAACATGACTCCAATCTCATCATACGTCTGGCTATACAGCTCCTAAAAAGAGGTGCGGACAACGTGCTCAAAGCATGTCCGACTGACTGGATGATGTGTTGGAGAAATGCATCTATCTTCCATGCATGACATGTGCACTCAGCTTTTTGGACTCACACATCAGTCAGATTATTCCAGCATTTTTTTTTTTTTTTTTAAGAGTGGGTCTTGCTGTGTTTCCCAGGCTGGAGTGCAGTGGCAGTAAACAAGCACAATTAGGTATGATCGAAGCACACTGCGGCCTTGAACACCAGGTATCTGGGACCACAGACACATGTCACCATGCCCGGCTGTAGATTATTCCAACTCTGAATAATTTAAAAATAGCTCATCGCTACTTTTTTTTTTTTTTTTTGAGAGATGGAGTCTTGCTGTGTCACCCAGGCTGGAGTTGAGTGGCACAATCTCAGCTCACTGCAACCTCCACCTCCCGGGTTCAAGTGAGTCTCCTGTCTCAGTTTCCCGAGTAGCTGGGACGACAGGTGTGCACCACCGCGTCCAGTTAATTTTTGTATTTTTTAGTAGAGACAGGGTTTCACTATTTGTTGCCCAGGCTGGTCTCAAACTCCTGACCTCAGATGATCCACCCGCCTCGGCCTCCCAAAGTGCCGGGATTACAGGCATGAGCCACTGTGCCCGGCCACTACTTTGAATAAATTTTAAAACAGCTTCTCTAGTTCCTCTAACAGCCCCAGCTGTGAAGACGAGGGTACCGTAGAGCTGGGAACCACTCTGTTTGGAGAAGTTCACAGGCAACAGAAAGGTGGGCTCTAGCCAAAGTCTTGTCTTCTGACACATGGCCTCAGAGCTGTACGGCCCACATCACGATGCCTACAGCAGTGCACTTTATAAGAGGCCGGAGAAATTCCTCTTTTGCTTATTTGTGTTTGCTGTTTAGGTTCAGCCCTACCTAGGCCCCAGTCCCCTGTCCCTGAGAAGGCCTGGGCCCAGCGGGGGCTGCCTGAAAGAAAGAACAGATGGAGACAAATGGCCTCATGGTTCCGGGCTGAGACCACACCCCTCACCTCATCTCTCTTCTTGGACCCCAGGAAATGGCGTGCCACGTGCTCAGGCAACATGTTGGTGACCAAGGCCTCGTTCCAGCGTCGCATCTCATAGACACGTTCCTTCTGGTCGTGGACCTCAATCTTCCACAAGAAAAGTGTCCGTGCCAGTTTTTCTACCTACAGACACAGACAAGGCGAGGCATGTGCTCTAAGCTGGCCACTGGATAGAAGGATGAAAAACAGGAATGGCCAGGCGTGGCGGTTCATGCCTGTAATCCCAGCACTTTGGGAGGCCGAGGCAGGCGGATCACCTGAGGTCAGGAGTTCGAGACCAGCCTGACCAACATGGTGAAACCCTGTCTCTACTAAAAATACAAAAATTAGCCGGGCATGGTGGCGGGCACCTGTAATCCCAGCTACTCGGGAGGCTGAGGCAGGAGAATCAACTTGAACCCAGGAGGCAGAGGTTGCAGTGAGCCGAGATCGCACCACTGCACTCCAGCCTGGGCAAAAGAGTGAGACTCAGTCTCAAAAAAAGAAGAAAAACAGGAACGTGAATGGAGGAACTCCCCTTGGAAAGGCTGGAAGGAAGATGGCTAAATGGCAAGGGAAGTAAGACCCTGCAAAGATTGCACCTCATCAAAAGGCCACCCAATAGTGGTGCGGTTCCCAGCCTCCGTAATTACAGCAGAGATCCAGGAGGCCTTCCGTGTGTAGGGGGCCTCTTGGGACCTAATTTCAGCTGCAGGTCTGTCTCGTGGAGGTGGCAGCAGTGGGGATCTCCCAACTCAGGGTGGAGTCCCCCTTTCTAGCAGGCGCCATTTGGGTAAGAAGTGGCTTGGGAAGGCTGTACTTCCCTGGAAAGCCAGTAGGGGGCACTTGAACTAACATTGGGCCCTAAGTACAGAGGATCTTTCTCTTCCCTCTCTTCCTTCTCTTTTCCTTTTTTGTCCGGTTGAGTGCGGTGGTTGTGGCGGGGGGGGGGGGGGTGCGGGGGGGGTGTCTCACTTTGTCACCCAGGCTGGAGTGCAGTGGTGTGATCTCAGCTTACTACAGCCTCAACCTCCTAGATTCAAGCAATCCTCCTGCCTCAGCCTCTCAAGTAGCTGGGATTACAGGTGCGGGCCACCATGCCTGGCTAATTTTTGTATTTT
This sequence comes from Homo sapiens, assembly GCF_000001405.40. NCBI lineage: Eukaryota > Metazoa > Chordata > Mammalia > Primates > Hominidae > Homo > Homo sapiens. The sequence continues at coordinate 24,825,514 of NC_000002.12, forward strand.
TTAGTAGAGACAGGGTTTCACCATATTGCCCAGGCTGGTCTCAGACTCCTGGACTCAAGTGATCCTCCACCCTCAGCCTCCCAAAATGAGCCACTGCACCGGCCTTCTCTTTTCCTTTTAACCCAACAGAAAGTCCATCAGCTCCCTTCTCTTTCTCTTCTGGCTCTGTGGTCAGTTGTGTTAATGTCCCTCAGCGCCACGGGGAGTGCGGGGGCCATGAGCCCCTGGCCTAGGGGATATTGATTTGATTCAAGATGTTTGTGCCTTCACTCTATCCCCTCCCACCTTCACTCCCATGCTTCCTTCACCATCCTGGAGGGGGTCGGACGGAAGAGGTGAGGAACTGTCTTCCTGTGTGACTGAGGAAGGAGCCTGAATAGAGAAGGCGGTGGCCTGACCAGGCTCACGTGTGGGGCTGGGTGAAGGGAAGCCCCATTCCTTAGGAGCTTGGGCTCTTAGGTCCCAGGGCTGCTTCTCAGGAGGCCCTGTGGGCTGTGGGCACAGAGCGGGGATCGTGCAGGCGGCACTCACGTGGCGGGAGAAGTAGTAGAAGCTGAGCATCATGAGGAACACCATCACCGTCATAGAGTACTTGGAAGGCACCAGGGGCAGCCTGCTGGGCAGAGCGTGTGCAACTGAAAGGGCTGTCATCTGCCTCCTGGAGGGGGCCTGATTCCCTCCAACTAGATGGTGCTGCTTCCTGCCACCCCAGCCCTAGAGCTCACCCCGGCTCCTTAGGCCCTTTCACATCAAGTCGGGCTCCCCCGGGCAGTAAAATTTTCTTAACTCACTGGGCTCCTCTCCAACAGCCAGGCAACCCCTGGCCCCTCCTGGCTGCACCTGGTATTCACATCAGGGCTGCTCCCCAGGTATTTAAGAAACACTGCATTGCCTGACTGATCACAGAGGTAGCTACAACCATGCAGGAATTTGGAGAAGCAAGAGACATCAGTGATGGGATTTCATAGCCATGGGACTGGGGTACAATCTCACCATGGCTTTTTACCTTGTTCATACATATTTTTATGTGGAGCTGTGGTTAGTTTCCATTACCGTATGGTATTTCACTGCATGAATATACCAGTTATGTATCCATTTCCTGTTGATGTCATTTGGGTTGTTTTCATTTGTTTTGGGGGAGGGGGTATGTCTATTACGAACAGTGCCACTTTGGACATTCTCATACATATATCCTGGGACATGAGTATGTGCATGAATTTCTCTAAGATGTGTGTATATATATATATACACATATACACACGTCTGCGTGGGTGTGTATGTAGGAGTGGAATTGCTGGGACACAGGTTTATTTTCAACCTTACTAAATAGATCAAAATATTTTCTAACACGGTTGTACTAACTCATACTCCCACCAGGAGTGTAAGAGTTACTATTGTACTTGATATTGTCAGAGTTATCTGGACCGGTACGTGTGTGATGGTATCTCACTAGGGTGTAACTGGCATTTCCTTGATTACTTGAGTGCCATTTATTAGTGGCCATTTAGAGTTCTTCTTTTGCTAAGGGCTATGCAGGTTTTACCCCTCTTCTATTAGGTCATCTTTTTATTTCTAAACTTCCTTGAAGGTCTGTTCAAGTCATGGAATCATAAAATTTTAAAACCTTGGCACTGGCAGGGACCTTAGAGAACTTCTGGTTCAGTATCCTCCTCAAGAGATGAAATTGCAACTCATGGAAACGGACCTGCCTGTGACCCACAGAGAATTACTGCCTGCTGCAGGCTCAGAAGCCAGGTCCAAATCCAAAGCGTCTTCCTCCCTCCTCATTTTCCTGCTGCCTGTCTGTCCTGCCAGCCAGTTACATGCAGCTGCCATCCACCTGGTATTTCCTTCCCTCCTCACTGCACTGCTGCAGCCCTCCTGGAGGAACCCATGCCAGCTTCTCTAACCTGCACGTATCAGGTCACGTGCCTCCCGGGAGGGTGAGATCCCGGGGCTTGGGCCTGTTATATTCCTGTCTCTAGAAGAAGGGCTGTGAGTGCAGGCCAGGAGGGGAAGCCGTGGCCCTTACCTGTCAGTGCCATTGAGCCCAGGGTTGAATCCTTGCATCTGCTCTAAGGCCACCATAGGTAAGCTGTTGGACAGATAACAGCACAGTCAGGCCCCATCTGGGAACAAGAGCCTGATGCCCAGCCAGGCACCGGGGTATCCCAAGTCCTCCACTCGGGGAGAATGGGAAGAATCTATTCTCAGGTCCTAGCCAAACAGTGATACGTCTGTGAGCAGCCAGGAACTGGTTCTTGAACAAGCCTTTGAGGACCCCTAGTGGCAGAAAGCCACCTCAGCACAGGCCCATGAGCTTGAACTGAGGACTTTGCGGGCGGGAGGAAGGAGACAATACAGATCCCCAGTCACGCTTCATCTTACTCGTGCTCCCGAAAACGCTTGTGGTCGTATTCATCAAAGACGGGACGCCAGGCATAGAGGTTGATGGTGGCCACGGCGCCTGCGACGAGCAGCATGAGCGTGAGCTTCACCATGTGGCTGACCTGCACCAGCATGATGGTGGCGATGAGGGACAGCACGGCCACATAGTTGTAATACTTGGGGTTCTCCAGGCAGCTGCCCTCCGTTTCCATCCCTGCCGTTGCATTGCTGGGTCCCGTGTAGTACTGGAGACAGCTGAGCTGGAGGCCAGGACGGCGGGCAGGGACACACGTTCAAGAGAACAGCAGGTGCTGGTCACAGAGGGCTGTGCATGGTAGTGCACGCTCAGCTGCCACCTCCCGCGGCTCCCCCAGAAATACCGGGAAAGATGGGGAAATTTACCAGGGACTAATCATATGAAAGTTAGTAACTGCAGCTAAGAGCCTCGCCGTTGCCTCATTTGACATTCACAAAAACTCTCTCGAGTATTTTTAGTACTGTCCCTATTGTACAGAAAACTCGGGCCAGATTTGCCCAAACACAATTAGCAAGCAGAAAAGCCAAAAGTAGGAGCCAAGTCTTTAGGCTTCAAATCCAACATGTTCTTCCCCATATCACACTGTTGCTTCAGGAGGGGCCACGGGACCATGAGCCCCACTCACAGCCTCCCCGTGATGACAGCTAGTCTCTGCCCAAATCCTTCCATTGGGGGGATGTTCACTGCCTTCTGGATTCTTTACTGGTTCTGCTACTGGGCAGATGCGGCCGGGAGAAAGCGCATCCAGAACCGGAATCAACCCCCCCTTTTTGTAACTTTCACCCACAGGGCAACCTTGTCTTGCTTGCGCGATTCCCGCCATGTCATTCTAGCATGAGCAGTTGTTACACCTCCCTAGCTTTTTACCCCTCCATGAGTGACAGCATCTCCAGGTGTCCTGTACAGTGTCCAGGACCCCATGCAGTGGTGACCTCCACACCTGGGTGCCAGGTTCCAGGCATGTTGTGACATGCAGGGGGCCTGGGGCTTCTCTTCCCTGGGTAGTGGGCACCAGCAACCCCTGGCCAAGGTAGGCTCTGGAGCCCCTAACTCCTCATTCCCAGTAGACTTATTCTTTTTTTTCTTTTTTTTTTTTGAGATGGAGTCTCGCTCTGTCGCCCAGACTGGCGTGCAGTGGTGCATTCTTGGCTCACTGCAACCTCCACCTCCCAGGTTCAAGCGATTCTCCTGCCTCAGCTGCCCAAGTAGCTGGAATTACAGGCTCGTGCCATTGTGGCTGGCTAATTTTTGTATTTTTAGTAGAGACGGGGTTTCACCATCTTGGCCAGGCTGGTCTCAAACTCCTGACCTCAAGTGATCTGCCTGCCTCAGCCTCCCAAAGTGCTGGAATTACAAGTGTGAGCCACCGCGCCCGGCCCCCCACTGGACTTCTGATTAGCTGCAGCCCTGGAGCTTTTTCACTTATACCACTGGCAGAATAAGTCTCCATGTTGGTTGTATTTGTGTGCTCCAATTTTTTTTTTTTTTTTTTTTTTTTTTTTGAGACAAAGTCTCACTCTGTTGCCAGGCTGGAGTGCAGTGCACAATCTCGGCTCACTGCAAGCTCCACCTCCCGGGTTCACGCCATTCTCCTGCCTCAGCCTCCTGAGTAGCTGGGACTACAGGCGCCTGCCACCACGCCCGGCTAATTTTTTTGTATTTTTAGTAGAGACGGGGTTTCAACTGTGTTAGCCAGGATGATTTCGATCTCCTGACCTCGTGATCCGCCCGCCTTGGCCTCCCAAAGTGCTGGGATTACAGGCGTGAGCCACTGCGCCCGGCACCGTGTGCTCCAATTGTTAAAGTACAACAATAACATTATATTTGAAAAAAAAGGAAGATAGTGTATATGGTACTACCACAATTAGAGGAGGCCGTGACAACTGACAAGAGAACACTGATGACAGCTCCAGGCATGTAGTGCTCAATACGTGCCCAGTGGTTCTAAACCAATAGATCTGGGCTCCCAACTCCTGTCCCTTTTCCCCAAGAAAGCATTTGGCTGCCCCCTCAGGGAGGAAGAATACACAGGACTGGGACTTAGAACTGCCTCCATTCTGGACTCTGTCACTTCCTGGCTGTGTGACCTAGAGCAAGTGAATTACCTTTTTTTTTTTTTTTTGAGACGGAGTCTTGCTGTCGCCTAGGCTGGAGTGCAGCGGCTCAATCTCGGCTCACTGCAACCTCCGCCTCCTGGGTTCAAGCGATTCTCCTGCTTCAGCCTCCCAAGTAGCTGGGATTACAGGTGTGCACCACCATGCCTGGCTAATTTTTGTATTTTTAGTACAGATGGGGTTTCACCATGTTGGCCAGGCTGGTTTCGAACTCCTGACCTCGTGATCCGCCCACCTTGGCCTCCCAAAGTGCTGGGATTACAGGCGTGAGCTACCGCGCCCAACCAATTACCCTTTTTGAGAGTTAGTTTCTCCCTATGAAACTGCAGATACTGGTACAACTGCTCAGGACTTTTTCACAGATTAAATGAATCAACATACATAAGGTACCTAGCACAGGCCTGGGCACATGGAACTGTGCTCTCGGACTCTGGGAGAGGAGCTTCAAGGAAACAAGTCCATCCCAGAGGCTCCCTGGATGACAGGGACAAGACTCCTTCCACTAGGTGGGGATGATGTGTTTGGGAACCTAAGAGCCACTCCAAAGCTACATGACGGTGGAGGGATGGACTGAGAAACTGCTTGTGTGACCCAAACAGAAGCCCTTCTCCACTGAGAACAGGGGCGTCCCTTCAACAAGGACAGCAGGAGCTCACCATGTCCACGACATTTGCCATCACCAGGATGAAGATGGCGAGCATGGCCCAGGTGTTCCTGGCCCAGCGGGTCCGGTCAATCCAAGTTGAGAAGGCCACAAGCTTCTTAGGAAAGGCCTAGAAGGAACAGAATTTCAAGGGCCATGAGCCTTTGCCAGTCCTTTCTCCTGCGACGTGACTGACAGCAACTCAGGCTGGTCCCGTATTCCAGTCCCAGGAGCCTCAAAACGGACTCTGCCTGGGAGTCACCTGACAGCTGACCAAGGGGCAGAGCTGAGAAGAGGGCGTGGGAGTTCTGACGCTGTGTTGGACCTCCTCGATGTGCCTGTTCAACAGCACAGCCTCCAGGTCGCAGCCCTTTCCACAGCAGACGTGGTGACGAGGTGAGGCCAGGGCAGGAACAGTTTTCAGGGCTGCTCGTCTCTGGCCAGCTACTCCTGCCTATCCTGGCTCCAAGTGACCTGGCGAGCCACCTGTCAGATTTATGTTCCTAAACACTGCTTTACCTTTGTCATTCTGATTAAAAAAAAAAAAAACTCTGCTTGGTACCTCAGTGCCTTACAGGAGAAAGTTTTAATCCCTTTAGTCTGGCTTCTAAGGGCCTTCACCATCGGGGCCAACCCACCTTCCAGCCGGCCCTCCACTTCCTCTCTACCCAGGTTCTTGTTTACCCAGACTCTGCCGTACTCATACGTGCTGCAGCGCCACGGCCCAACAAGGCCCACCACGGCCCAGCCGTGGCCCACCACAGCCTGCCACAGCCTGGTGGCCCAGCCAGAGGGAGTGCTCTGCTGATGGTGAATGAATGGATGGGCAAGTGCCTGGACCGTCCTAACAGAGGAGTGTCTGCCTGTCAGATTTGACAGAAAGAATAACTCCATCACTGCCCAGTTTTACAGGGAGTGCCACTCACTTCCAGAGGCTTCTGAGCTCAGTAGAAAAGTGCCTCTTACCCGGGGAAAGATGGCAGCCAGGGAGCAGATGGTCAGGATGAGGAGCAGAATCTCCCCCACCATGAAGGTCACATAGTTTGTCATTAGCCTGTGACAGAGAGAAGACAATTGGGAGAGGCCAGAGGGGACAGTGAGATGGGGTGAGGGGCTAGGAGAGGAAGGGACGGGGATGGGGGCAGGGGCCAGGGGACAGCGGACAGGGGGCAGGGGACAGTGGACAGGGGCCAGGGGGCAGGGGACAGCGGACAGGGGCCAGGGGACAGCGGACAGTGGCCAGGGGACAGCAGACAGGGGCAGGGGCCAGGGGGCAGCGGACAGGGACTGGGGGCAGGGGCCGGGGGCAGGGGCCAGCAGACAGGGACCGGGGGCAGGGGCCAGCAGACAAGGACCGGGGGAAGGGGGCAGGGGGCAGGGGACAGGGGCCGGGGGCAGGGGACGGGGAGGCCTCTCAGCACAGCACGAGCCTGTACAGCTCCACGCGGTGCCAGGGAATTGCTGCTGCCTGCCGTGCAGAACAGGACAAAGGCCCTGATGAGACGGGCCGCCAGCTGAGTGCCGGCCTGGGAGCGGGCCACTCTCCAGCTGCAGCTGCTGCCTGGGACATTTCCCAGAGAGGGAACAACTCACAGGTGGCCTGGGCACAGCCCAGGATAAACTTGGGCAGGGATCTTAGGAATGCACCCCTGCCATGTCGCTGTGCTGAAAGGACAGAGCACGGAGCAGCATCACTCCCTCGCTGCCGGGGGCTAAGAGTCTGCCTGTGACAGCCACCCCCAGCTTCACAGTGGACACACTCAACACATCCACCTTAACCTGACAACTCCCGGAAACCTGTTCTCTATACCCTCTGCTCACACCCATTCCCGTTTAACCCCTCCCTGGAAGGTGTCCTTGCCAAGAGCCCCAGAAGCCTCCTGGTAGCTAAATCCATGTCCCATTTTCAGTCACCTCTCACCCCTCCTTGAGACACTTTTCTCGCTTGGTTTCTTGAGTCCTTTTCTGTCTCTGCATCTGGACACGCTGCCTTGAGCTCAGCAAGTCTCGTGTTGCAGCACAGCCTGCATGCTGGTGATGCCAGGTTCACGTCTCCAACCCCACCCGCCCTCCAAACTCCAGATCATGGATGCTGGCCTCCTTGGCTTGTGGGCACTGCAAACTTCACGTGTCCCAAAGCAAACTCCTGATCTTTGCCTCTCCACTCTCATCTTTCCACCTTGTCCCCATCTTGGTTAACGGCACCCCCGTCCTGCCAGTTGCTCAGATCAGAAGCCCAGGAGACATCCTCAACTCCACACTCACGCCCCACAACCAATCTGCCAGCAAATCCTGTCAGCTCTGTCTCCAAAATACATTCAGCATCTATCGACGGAATCCAACCACTGATCCTCCTCTATCCTCGGCCTGGCCTGGCCACCACAGTGGCTTGTCTGGGCCGCTATTTGGTCTCACTGCTCCCGCTGTGCTCACTAAGCGCTGTTCTCAGCAGGAGTGAGCCTCTCCAGGCATATGTCACAACAGGGGACTCCTCTGCTCCCTTGTTCTGGCGGCCTCCTGTGTTAAGAGTGGAAGCTGGCACCCTGCAGTGGCGTGTAGGAGGCCCCACGTCTGTGCTGGACTCCTGCTACTCTTCCTGTGGCCCGTTCCCAATGCGATGCCTCCTCACTGTGCCTCCAGGGGCCAGGCCACTCCAGCCTCAGCACCTCTATCCGAAGCAGGTGTCCCCCAGATAGGAGAAGGCTCGCCCCTCACCCGCTTCCAGGCGTTACTGAAATATTATCCTGCCAGCAAGTCCTGCTCTGACCATCCCACATCAAAATGCAAACAAAACAAAACAAAGCTCCCCAGCAGCATACCCGCCTCCCTTCCTTGCCTTCCCTGTGTCTGCAGTACTTACTCTCGCATGGATGCATATTTTAATTGTTTAATTGCTTTTGCCTGTAGCTTCCCCTACCAGAACCCAAGTTTCACGAGAGCAGGGGTTTCTGTGTGCCGCATCGCTGCCATAGCCCCAGCCCTTGATCCCCACGCATGAAGCAGACAACCAATCAATACTTATGGAATGAGTGAATTTGAGCCTCACCACAGTCGTGAGTGTCCGCTAGGGCAGGGGTTGTTCTCCTCATTTCACAGATGAGGAAACAGATGCTGCCGGAGCCTGCAGTGGCCTGCACGTGGTCACACACCCGCAACCTTAGATAGTGTGACCCAGCCCAAGGCTCCTGACAAACTGTAATCCCAGCAGGGTTCCAGACCCCTCCTCTGTGACGGGGAATCCCCGATTGGCCGAGGGGAGAAAGGGAGAACAAGAGAGTGGTCGTCACCCTCAGACAGGGCTTCACCAGCTGGGGACTCCAGGAGGCCACACCTTGCCCTGGAGGACCTACTGCTGCGTTAGAGAGGGCGTCAGTCTGTGCCCACAGCCTAAAATCTATCTTTACCAAGATGAGCCAAGAGAGGGGCCAGGTCAGCCTTGGTGACTGAGACTGACGCAGTGTCCCCATCTTTGTCCCAAGAATCAGTGTGGGCCCATCTAGCCAAGGTCTCCAGCCTTCTGGAGGCCTCTGTCCCTCAGCTCTCTTGATCCTGGCCAGATCCCCATTCTGACGCTAGGACTGCTCCAAAACGCGGGGCAGGGAAAAGGAAGGATGCCCAGGGTGCCGTCTAGCACTCCTGGGGCCTGTGGGGGCCGTCCCAGTGGGGGTCAGGGAGCAGAGACTGGCTTGCTCCCCAATGTCAGGCTCCCGCTGAGACACCTGCCCCCGCCCCCCGCCCGGCACCACCGCAGCCGAGGAAACTCGTGGCCCTCCCCGGCCCCTCCCTCACCAGGGGTCGATGAGTATCTCGACCAGGGCCGTGCAGAGCAGGACGACGCAGGAGCAGCTGAAGGCAGCCCCACTCTGCTTCTCCTTCTCCACCGAGTAGCGGGTTTCCATCTCGGGGTCCATGAACCGCATGGACAAGAGGAAGGTGTTTCTCTTCTTTACTCTGCAGTGGGAACAAGCCCCATGAATCCCAAATGCCACATCTGCCTTGGCCTAGCAGGGGGGCCGTATTTGGGATGCTCAGTTTCCTGAATCCCTTGTCAGGGCCCGGGAGGAGTGGTGGGCCTGGACGCTTCCGGGTGGCGCTTACACTTGGGCGGACTCTCGCTCAAGCAGGGCCTCGTTGAGCAGCTGGTTGAGCTCGTGCTCATCTTCAGAGGCATCCACCACTCGGTCAGCCAGGTCCTGCAGGCGCAGCCTCCGGCGTGGGTTGGGGAATGAGGGGTTGTCGGCCTGTGAGCCAGGGAGGCAGCGTGAGTGGGGCAGATGGGACAGAGTGGTGGGGAAGAGCTGGGAAAGACAGAGGTGGAGGAGGAAAGGAACAAAAGAGGGCATACTCGGAGGACCAATCCCTCCAGCTCTAAAATCCCTTTCCGGGAAGTCTTCCCCATGCTCCCACGTGGCTCCATGTGGCCTGGATCTACACCCAAAGCTCCAGTCTTTCCTGGCTCCCCGGGCCCCCCACCCAGAGCTCTGCAGGGAGGGTCCGCTAATGACAGCATTGTAGGGAGCAGCCCCTGGCTCCTGAGCAGGAGACCTGTAATCGGAGACAGCTGCTGGGCTGAGGCAGTCCTGGCACTTCCTGCTGTATTGATGTGGGGGCCATATACATTGGCAGCCTGGGGACATGAATGGCTCCCAACTCTAGGGCTTCAGGGAACTGTTAAAGGAACTCACATCTGGCTCATTTGGAAAGGAAGATCTGAGGGGGAAAGTGATGGGAGAGAGAAGAATGTCCTCATCACTAGAGGGCTGACAAGGGGCGGGTAGGTGGAGCTGGGGCACCCACTACCCTTTTATTCCCAGTTCCAAAGAAAAAGCATCAACTCCAAAAACAGGAATCCTGGCTGTGATGACACAGCCATCAGTCTGAATAGTCACTGAGACGGGCTGAGAGCTGTCTGAACGGGTTCAACAGTGCATCTGGGAGCCACAGTCACGACTCCCTGGGGCCGGGCACGGTGACTCACGCCTGTCATCCCAGCACTCTGGGAGGCTGAGGTGGGTGGATCACTTGAGGTCAGGAGTTTGAGACCAGACTGGCCAACATAGTGAAACTCCATCTTTACTAAAAATACAAAAATTAGCCAGGCATGGTGGTACACGCCTGTAATCACAGCTACTTGGGAGGCTGAGGCAGGAGAATCTCTTGCACCCGGGAGGCAGAGGTTGCAGTGAGCCAAGATCGCGCCACTGCACTCCAGCCTGGGTGACAGCGTGACTCCATCTCAAAAAAAAAAAAAAAAGACTCCCTGGTCTTAAGCACAGGCACAGGTGTGCCACTGGTTGACAGTTTGACCCCAGATAATGTTTCCCCAGCCACATCTTCCCCTTCTGTAAAATCACGTGGATGGTCTGTGGCAGCAGCGGGAACCTGTTCCTGAAGCAGATCCGGGAGCAGCGTGGCCCTGGCTGAGGGTCAGGGCCCGAAAAATCAGGCTGCTAAAGCTGCATCTGTGTCCTCCTTGCTAGTGAGTGCCCTGAGTCTGGACCCCCACTTTCTATCAAGAAAACTGCAACAAGGAAAAGTTACTGAATGTTGGGGGACTCAAGAAAAACCTAATTTACCCTGAGCCCCATCTACCCTCTTGTTCTACGGCATCTGCTCTAATGGCACCAGGGCCAGCTCTCCTGTCCCCCTCACGCGGTGAGCCCGAGCAGGGCAGACATCCCATCTCTGCAGCACTGACCTCCATCAGTGAACGTGCTCCAGACGCCCTGCGGTCAGGGACCAGTTCTGGGTGCTCCCCAAGAGGCACCCTGCACTCTGGGACAGCATGCTAATTCCTCGCCTTTGGGGGCTAAGGAAATATCCCATCTTGCATGGAACTTGTGGGGCTTGAACCTAGCCAGAGGGGTGAGTCCAGGTCTGATATCTCACTTCCAAAATGGTCTCAGATCCTATATAATTTTCCATGGATGTCCTCACTGATCTCAAATCTACAGGATTCCGGGCCATCAGAGCTACAAAGGCCTCCGAGCTAAGCACCTCTTTTGACCTTACTCACCCCGGCATGTAACTGATGAGGAGACAGTGGGGTTTTGCGGGGCTGGAGGGGTGACCTGTCCATGGTTACAGTGCTAAGCAGGAGCAGGTCCTGGGTGGTGGCCAGGTCTCCCCAGCACAGGACTCCTGCTGCAGGAACGTATTGCTTCCTGGTGCCTGCCCGCATCTGGCCCTCAGTGACCCCCTGCCCTGAGCCCTGCACATACCTGGGCATCCTGCTCCTCGGGCTTCTCCGACGTGGACCCACTGCTGTGGGCACTCCCGTTGGGCTCCTTGGTCTCAATGAGGGCAGGGGAGCTGGACTTTGAGGAAGCTGGTGCTCCATTGGGCAGGGCCTAGAGGAAAGGAGAGCTCAGCCATGATCTGGGCATGGGATGAGAGTGGCGTGGACAGGTCTGGAAGTGACAAGGGCGTGGGAGGCGGTGGGATTAGAGAGCAATCTGAGGCCACAGAACTTGCTTGTGGATTGCAAAGTGAGGCGTCAAGGATGATTTCAAACTTTTTGGTCTGAGCAGTTGTTAATAAAAGGATGGAACTGCCATTAACTGAGATGGGAAGACCGAGGGAGAGCAGGTTATGGAGTGGGAAGGAGGGCAGGAGCTTTGGGCAGGTGGCATTTAAGATACCTATTATATGTACAAATGGAGACGTACAAGTGGCTGTATGTTGAGTGCAGGGAAGACACTGGGGGTGGAGATACAAATTTGGGAGTTGTCAGAGACAGCCTTTAAAATGACACTGGATGAGACTGACATCGAGGTTAGAATCAGCGGGGAGTATCAGCCTTCACTCCGGCAGCCTCACCAGAGTGGGCTTTGCTTTAGCCATAATTAGGCAAAGCCTCAGCCATAGAGCAGTCTCAAATGACACGACTTCCCTGACAGTCACCAAGCTCCTTAATTCCAAGTCTTGTTAGATGGACTCTCATAACTGGAGGAAAGGGTTTTGACATGAGATTACAAAAAATAAGACAACCTCCAGATTCAGCAGGGGATGGTAAAGGGATCCATTTCTGCAACAGCTGCTGGTGGTTTCTAATCAGACTGACAGGAGGTGTTTGGGGGTTGGTGGACAGACCTGGGGAAGCTGCTGAGTGCTTCAGGTCTGTAGATATTCGGGGGATCCCACAAAAAGACCAGAGGGCAGGCCCACAGGATGCACGATTGCAAGCTTGTTCAACCCACAGTATTTTTTGTTTGGCCCGAGACAATTCTTCTTCTTCCAATGTGGCCCAGGGAAGCCGAAAGATTAGACACCCCTGCTCTATTACTTCTATCTCATTCCTCCCTCATTTCCCACTCAGGAAACCTTCCTGGCCTTGGTCCTCCTCCCCCATGACCAGTCACCCCACCCCCACCCTCCTCTCTGAGCCTCTCCCTGAGCATCCACGTCACTCCTGTGGCTTCACTCACTTCCTCCATGCAGGAGACCCTGAGCCCCAACCCAGCTGCTCTCCTGGGCGCCACCGACACATCTCCAGCGGCCCCCTCCTGGATGTGGTCTTGGGATATGCTTCAGTCACCTCCATTGCAACCTGCCATGAATTACACTCACCATCTCCCCCAGAAACCAGCTCTCCCTTGGGAAGGGTGCCAGCCTGCCACTCACCTCTCACAGCCAGCCACTGCTGGGTCCTGCCACCTCTTCTGCAATCTTTCCTTAATCTCCTCCTTTCCAACCCCCTAATCCAGGGGTGGGGTGGGTGGGGTGGGTGGGGTGGGGTGGGGAACTCACCGAGCCATTGAGGCCATTCTGGGTGGCTGTTTTCTTCACCTCTGGCTTGGAGGCAATGATGAGGTAGGTTTCAATACCCTTCTCTTCTAGGTAATCACAGCGGCTGCCCCCATCGCCTGGCTCCACATCAAACTCCCCTTTCAGGCAGTCCATGGTGCTCTGGGAGATGTGCACGCGCCTGGATTGCAGAGAGAGAGGCCCTGAGCGTCGGCCAGAGGTGGCCCTCACACCCCCAGGGGACAGTCCACGGACCACGGCTGCACCGGCTGCTGCTCGGCCCCGTGTCTCTCGGGCATGTGGGGCAGAGGCCAAGTGGAGGCAGTTCTGCCACTAACTAGCTGTGTGGGCCGCTAACTAGCTGTGTGGGCCGCTAACTAGCTGTGTGGGCCGTATGGCACTTACTCCCATCTCAGCCTCAGTGTTGGAGCCACGACACAGGAGTACAATCTTTCTTCAATCTTTGATCCGCTGTAAAGCAGATCAAATGCGATAAGGAATTTTTTTTTTTTTTTTTTTGAGACAGAGTCTTGTTCTGTCGCCCAGGATGGAGTGCAGTGGCTTGATCTTGGCTCAGTGCAACCTCTGCCTCCCGGGTTCAAGCAATTCTCCTGCCTCAGCCTCCAGAGTAGCTGGAATTACAGGTGCACACCACCACACCCGACTAATTCTGTATTTTTAGTAGAGATGGGGTTTCGTCATGTTGGTCAGGCTGGTCTCAAACTCTTGACCTCAGGTGATCTACCCACCTCGGCCTCCCAAAGTGCTGGGATTACAGGCGTGAGCCACAAGATCCAATTATCCCCCACCTTGCACGTTTCTCAGTTGCAACCCCTGCTGCCAAGAGATAATAAAACCTGTTTCTGAGGAGTCACCACTGAGGCCAAGAATCCTAAATGCCACTGAAGGAAGCTCCCTGGCCCAGATGGGGAAGGCTGGGCTGATCCTCCCTCAGCCTCGCCCTGCTAAAGGCAGGGCCTCCATTATCCTGTAAGGGAGCTCAAGTAAGGCGTGTAATCGCACTGCGACCTGCAAAACGCTGCCTGCGAGCCCGCTAGCTGATGACTGCTCATTACTCTCCCTTTGGGGAGACCTGGGCTCTGACATAAGGAGAGCTGGGGCAGCCCCCTTAGTGGGTAAAGGGGAGGCAGCCCCCTAAGTCGGTAAAGGGGACAGGAGGACAGGCTACTGCAGGGTCCAGGAAGGAAAAGCCACATCCAATATCAGGCCCAAAGAGGCCTCACCCCAAGGCAGGTCAGAACGGCCTTAGCCAGGGCCAGGACCAGGGCGAGACAGGAGGAATGCTGTTCCGGGGTTGTAGGGAGGCCTTCTCTGAGGCCCCCTGTCCCTCATCAGGGTCACAGCCCTGGGGGATGGAGGGGACGGTCCCCTCCCCAGTCCTCAAACCTGCCCCCTTGGAATGGCACTCACCCAGGGATGCCGCCGGCCTCCATCTTGTTGGCTACAGTGACATCAGTCGACCACACGTCGTACTGCCAGCGCTTCTGGCCCAGGACGCCCCCCAGCACGGTGCCCGTGTGCACCCCCACACGCATGTCCACCCCAGTCTTGGTCTTCTCCCGCACATACCTGCCAGGTACACACAGAAAGGAGGGTCAGGGTGTGGCCTTCACGAGGCAGCCAGCTGCCCCTGCTCCTGCAGGAGAAATTCATTGTGGGCCTCTTCCCCTCCACAAGAGGGGGCCTGGCAAGGTCCCCACAGCTTGGTGTTGGGTGGGGGGTAAGGCAGGCCAGGGCCAGCCCAGAGTCAGGCATCACAGGCCAGCAGGACGAGGGCACCAAGCGACTTTCCTCCCTATCCCCACTTCCCGAGGGGCCTCAGTTTCTCTCTGCCAATTACTCTTTTATTCATTCGTGCAGTTAATATTTCACTGAGCATCAAGTATGTGCCAGGCACGTTCAAGGTGCTGCAGACACAGAGGTGAAGAAAATAGCCGTGAACAGCCCCCTGCCTGAACGTGTCTGACAGGGCAGGGAGAGAATGTTAGAGTTCCTGGACTACCACCCCTGGGGTAAAGGCCACACTGCTTTCTTTCCAGGGCAATACTAGACGGGCTTTAACCTGGAAGATGGTAAAAATGCAAAGCCGCCCCCTCGGAGAAGGGGGTAAAGAGCAGGCAACTTCCTGGACTCCATCCCATGGGGGAGGGGCCTCGGCAGGAGCTTCCCTTTCCGTGTTGGTGCCTGATGTCACCCCGGGTCCCGCAGAGGCTGGAAGTCAACCAGAGGGACTGCCCATCCGAGAGCTGCAAGCCCACTTGGAGCAGGGGCAAGAGTAGGGGACAGTGAGGGCAGGAGAGTTTGCCTCCCTCACAGCCTAAGGCTGGAGCACAGAGGCCGGGGTGGGATCCAGCCTCATCCCTGAGCCCCTCTGCCAGGGTCTTACAGTCACTGCATCACGAGATGGAGAGGGCAGTGCCTTCGGGGGTCACGGTGAGAAAACACTGAGGAGAGATGGGGAGCCCCTGTGGGGGTCCCAGCAAGTGTGAGGAGGCGTGAGAAAATTCACAACTGCAACTTCTGGCAAAAAGAGAATACGTGGACTAAGGCTGGAAAAGTGTGCCCCACAGGCTGGGGGAGCCTCGCAGGTCCCCTGGGCTGTGAGGAAGGTAAGCCACATCCCAGCTTCTAGAGCGGGAGCCTGCGCCACCCATCAACCAGTGCTGTGTCCCAGTCTCTGCTTCCAGCAGATCCCCCACCCAGGGGCCATGGCCAGCGCGGAAGACCTGCTTCTCCCTGGGTCCAGGGCCGGGGCCCTTGCTCTGGGAGCCTCCCTCCCAGAGGCATCCCACTTACGAGATGGCCTCCACCATGGCCAGCCCCATGAGGATGGAGCAGACGGCGTGGTCCTCCCGGTAGTCGGGCAAGCCGCAGATGCAGTAGTAGCAGTCGCCCAGGATCTTAATCCGCAGCTGGTGGTATTTCTGAAAGGGGAGGGCCTGGCCTGTGCTCCAGCCCCTCCTCAGTGAGGGAGGAGTGGCCAAGAAAGCAGAGGAAGGACAGTGGGAGAAAATCATGGGGCCGGGGATGGGGGCCAGGCAGAGGCCATGAGGGCAGGCCCCGCTGGAGAGCCAGGCGGGGCCAGGGACTTACAGCTGCCAGCTTGTCAAAGCGGGCAAAGAGCTCGTTGAGCAGCTTCACAAGCTCCTGGGCACTGCAGGCAGAAGACAGCTGGGTAAAGCCCACGATGTCGGCAAAGAGGATGCTGCATGAGGAAGGAACCGTGGGGGTGACGCTCCAGGCAGCCAGGTGTACCCGACCCCACTGCCAGCTCCCTCTCCAACCCACAGGGCAGCCAGGATCAGGGCAGGAGAAGGTCCTCCCTCACGACCCCCAGACAGTGAGACCCTGACCCTTCCAGGTAAAGTCAGGGCTCTGACCTTGCACTTGTCCTAGCAGACTTCCCCTGCAGGCCTCCCTCCCTGTGGTGCCTGGGGACCACCCCACACTGCCCACTCCTGCCCAGGCTGAACTCATCCTTCTTCCTAGAATCACAGGTCAGGGCTCTAGCCCCAGTGCTGGCCCTCAACAGCTGGGTGACCTCACAGGAGTCCCTTCCCCGCTCCAGGTGATATCTGTTCTATGATGGGGTTGGACCAAGCAGCCTAGAGCACACTGTAGCTTCAACATCTGCTGGCAGCTTCCTCCGCCAGGCTGATGAATGCTGTGGGAGGCCTTGCTTCTAG
This sequence comes from Homo sapiens, assembly GCF_000001405.40. Taxonomy (NCBI): domain Eukaryota; kingdom Metazoa; phylum Chordata; class Mammalia; order Primates; family Hominidae; genus Homo; species Homo sapiens. The sequence goes on from NC_000002.12 coordinate 24,842,149, forward strand.
TCCCTGGAAAACCTCTTGAAGCCCACAGCACCTAGCGGGTCCCACAAAGATGCAGCCCTCCACAGCCTGCTCTGCCATCAGAGCCCGCGCCCCGGGCCGGCGTACCTGACGTTCTCGTGACGGTACATGTACATGGTGTTGAACTGCTGCTGGTCCTTCTGGCTCTCGTCTTTCTTCATGTCTTTCAGCATCTCGTCAGCCACGTGCTTGGGCAGGATGGAAAGCATGAGGTTCTCCTGTGAGGGGCAGGAGAGGGTCAGAGGCAAAGGTAGGCCCTGCTAGAGGCAAGTTCAGATACTTCTGGGAAGAAATGCCCCGATCCTGGCAAGAAACGTGAGCAGGGAACCATGCTGCCCTCCAGAGAGACCTCACAGATCTGCCTCGGGAGCAGCCAGGGGTCTGGGACAGGCAGCTTCTGGCCCTGACAAGGCTGAGGGTGGCAATGGCCCCTTCAGAGCAACTGAGGGGAGCCAGAAACGCAGTGAAGCATCCCAACGTGGCTCTGTGCTCAGCATCCTCGTGCCACAAGAAGCGCAGCAGTCCTGCGTGGGCTGCTGCACCGTGAGCCCTCCCGGCAGGAGCCCTGCGGGGTCACCTCAGCCACCCGCCACGGCTGCACAGAGCCATCGCTCACAAAATTCTGCTTTGACCTGATCAAAGACTGACAGCAGACCAGGCACTACACGAGGCGCCAGCGACACAAAACCAGCAAGAACGTCCACCTCAGAGAGCGGAGGGTCTCACGGGGACACAGGTAACCATGCCCAGCACAGCGCAGCATGGCAAGTTCTGTGCCCAGAAAGGAGAGAGCAGAGGACGGCGCAAGAGAGAAGCAGGGGCCAAGGTCGGCCGGGGAGGAGGCATCAAGGAGGCCTTCCTGAAGGAGCCTTGGTCGAGCCCAAGACGCGACGCTGAGGGCACTCCTGTTGGAGGCAGCCGTGTACACAAACGCACAGACACACGCAAAGCGCACCAGGGTCCTTCAGGGATTTCTGTGGAGGTAAAAACAGAAACATGGCTTGAGAGCTGGGCATGGTTTAGATCAGGGTCAGCAAACCGTGGCCTGTGGGCCCAATCTGACTGCTGCTGTCTTTCTTCTTTTTATACAGGGTCTTGCTCTGTTGCCCAGGCTGGAGTGCAGTGGTGCAAACATGGCTCACAGTAGCCTCAACGTCCTGGACTCAAGTGATCCTCCCACCTCAACCTCTGGAGTAGCTGGGAGTACAGGCATGCATCACCACACCCAGCTAATTTTTACATTTTTTGTAGAAACAGGGTCTTGCCATGTTGCCCAAGCTGGTCTTGGACTCCTGCGCTCAAATCATCCTCTGTTTTCATAAAGTTTTCCTGGCACCCAGCCATGCTCATTTGTTGATATATTGTCTCTGGCTGTTTTAACACTCCAATGGCAGAGTGGGGTAGATGCGACAGAGACCGTATGGCCCACAGAGCCAAAGATATTTACTATGTGGCTCTTGTCAGAAGAGGTCTGTGGCTTGGGCGGTGCCGGTCTCTGGAACAGGGAACAGAGGAAGAGCGGCAGATATGAGGGCAAAGACAGGGTTTGGTTCTGAGGCGCTGTGGGGCCTCTGTGCGGGCACCTGCAGGCAGCGCTCAGGAGAGGCAGTGGGCTGAACCATCCGCCTGGAAGCCATGGGTTGGATAAGCAGTACGGAGAGAGAAAACCAGGGACAGAATGTGGTGCTGCGGAGGCGAAGCCAGGGACCAGAGGCTCAGCAGGGAGCTGGTCAAGAGGGGAGCACTGCCCCCATCCCTGAGGGGAGGAGGGTGATGATGGCGTCTGGTGAAGGATGGTGGGGGGCACTTGGGGGAGAATCCCAAGTTGAGGTTTTGCAAGATGGAAACTGTAAAAGGCCAAGGGGCATGAGAACTAGCTCATGGCAGGGACACAACTAAAGAAAGTGTGTCCAGCAAGGGGCCAAGATACAAATGAAACCGCAGCAGGCACAGGGGGAGGCCAGGGAACCGGAAGGCAGAGATGTGGCTGGAGGACAGGTGCCCGCTGACCTTCAGGGTGGAGTGCTTCCGGGTGGCCAGGCCCGTGTCGCCATGGGGTCGGCTGCTGAAAGGTGAGGAGTGCATGGGCGGGAACTCAGGACCCCCAGGAGCTCTGTGCCTAGGGTGCAGGTCCCAGGCATTACCACCCTGGGTCCTGGGTGGCCAGAAAACCAAGAACTAGTGGCTTGGTCCTCAGCACCTAGGGCCTGGCTGGATGGCTGTGGGTCCCAGGCCACAGGAGCAGGAGCCAGGGACCTTGCCTCCTGACAAGGCCTGGGCAGGGGGGCACCATGCAAGTGCTCTGACTCTGCTGAGTTCAGGGGTCCCTGAGGCCCGAGAGAGGCCAGCTCATCCTGCATGTCAGATGCACCTGCTTTGGGGCAGGAGGAGGTGAAGGCTCAACTCCACTCCTCTGGGTGGAGCTGCCAAGAGGTCCCCAGAGTCTGCTGTTGTACTTGGGCCCTCAGCACCTGGTAAACCAGAGGCCTCCCTTGTGAGAATCAGCTCTGCTACAGGTCCCCATCTTCTGCACTCTGTGGCTTCATGGGGAGAATTTATCACCTTTCTTGCAGGGAATCACACCATTAGGACAAGGTGAGCATGCCTGGCACTGGCCCCTGCCTGAAGCAGTAATAGTGGTTTTGCGCTTTGATATGGTTTGGCTGTGTCCCCACCCAAATCTCATTTGAATTGTATCTCCCAGAATTCCCACATGTTGTGGGAGGGACCCAGAGGGAGGTAATTGAATCACAGTGGCCGGTCTTTTCTGTGCTATTCTTGTGATAGTGAATAAATGTCACGAGATCTGATGGGTTTATCAGGAGTTTCTGCTTTTGCTTTTTGCTCATTTTCTCTTGCTGCCACCAGGTAAGAAGTGCCTTTCACCTCCCGCCATGATTCTGAGGCCTCCTCAGCCATGTGGAACTCTAAGTCCAATTAAACCTCTTTTTCTTCCCAGTCTCAGGTATGTCTTTATCAGCAGCGTGAAAACGGACTAATACAGTAAATTGGTACCAGTAGAGTGGCACATTGCTGAAAAGATACCCAAAAACGTGGAAGTGACTTTGGAACTGGGTAACAGGCAGAGGTCAGAACAGTTTGGAGGGCTCAGAAGAAGACAGGAAACTGTGGGGAAGTCTGGAACCTCCCAGAGACTTGTTAAATGGCTTTGACAAAAATGCTGTTAGTGATACGAACAATAAGGTCCAGGCTGAGGTGGTCTCAGATGGAGATAAGGAACTTGTTGGGAACTGGAGCAAAGGTGACTGTTATGTTTTAGCAAAGAGATTGGTGGCATTTTGCCCCTGCCCTAGAGATTTGTGGAACTTTGAACTTGAGAGATGATTTAGGGTATCTGATGGAAGAAATTTCTAAGCAGCAAAGCATTCAAGACGTGACTTGGGTGCTGTTAATGGCAATCAGTTTTAAAAAGGAAACAGCATAAAAATTTGGAAAATTTGCAGCCTGACTATGCGATAGAAAAGGAAATCCCATCTTCTGATAATTCAAGCTGGCTGCAGAAATTTGTGTAAGTAATGAAGAGCTGAAAGTTAATCACCAAGACAATAGGGAAAATGTCTCCAGGGCATGTCAGAGACCTTTGCGGCAGCCCCTCCCACCACAGGCCCTGAGGTGTAAGAGGAAAAAGTAGTTTCGTGGGCCAGGCCCAGGGTGCCCATGCTGTGTGCAGCCTAGGGACTTGGTGCCCTGTGTCCCAGCCGCTCCAGCCGTGGCCGAAAGGGCCAATGCAGAGCCTGGGCTGTGGCTTCAGAGGGTGCAAACCCCAAGCCTTGGCAGCTACCATGTGGTGGTAAGCCTGTGGGCACACAGAAGTCAAGAATTGAGGATTGGGGAACCTCTGCCTAGATTTCAGAAGATGTATGGTAATGCCTGGATGTCCAAGGAAAAGTGTGCTGCAAGGGCGGGGCCCTCATGGAGAACCCCTGCTAGGGCAGTGTGGAAGGGAAATGTGTAGTCGGAGCCACCACACAGAGTCCCTACTGGGCCACTGCCTAGTGGAGCTGTGAGAAGAGGGCCACTGTCCTCCAGACCCCAGAATGGTAGATCCACCGACACCTTGGCACCATGCACCTGGAAAAGCTGCAGACCCTCAAAGCCAGCCTATGAAAGCAGCTGTGAGGGAGGCTGTACCCTGCAAAGCCCCAGGGGCAGAGCTGCCCGAGACTATGGGAACCTGCCTCTTACATCAGCGTGACCTGGATGTGAGACCTGGAGTCAAAGGAGGTCATTTTGGAGCTTTAAAATTTAAGCTCCAAAGAAGCCCTGCTAGATTTCAGACTTGCATGGGGCCTGTAACCCCTTTGTTCTGGCCAATTTCTCCCATTTGGAATGGCTATACTTACTCAATACCTATATCCCCATGTATCTGGAAGTAACTAGTTTGCTTTTGATTTTTTTTTTTTTTTTTGAGACGAAGTCTCGCTCTTGTCCCCCAGGCTGGAATGCTGTAGTGCAATCTCAGCTCACTGCAACCTCTGCCTCCCCAGTTCAAGCAATTCTCCTGCTTCAGCCTCCTGAGTAGCTGGGATTACAGGTGCCTGCCCCCATGCCCGGCTAATTTTTGTATTTTTAGTAGAGACAAGGTTTCACCATGATGGCCAGGCTGGTCTTGAACTCCTGACCTCAGGTGATTCACTCGCCTCAGCCTCCCAAAGTCCTGGCATTACAGGTGTAAGCCATCATGTCTGGCCGCTTGCTTTTGATTTTACAGGCTCATAGGCAGAAGGGATTTGTCTCAGATGAGACTTTGGACTATGGATTTTTAGGTTAATGCTGAAATGAGTTAAGACTTTGGGGGGACTATTGGGAAGGTATGGTTGGTTTTGAAATGTGAGGACATGAGATTTGGAGGGGCCAGGAGTGGAATGATATGGTTTGGCTGTGTCCCCACCCAAATCTCAACTTGAATTCTATCTCCCAGAATTCTCACATGTTGTGGGAGGGACCCAGAGGGAGATCATTGAATCATGGGGGCCAGACTTTCATGTGCTATTCTCGTGATAGCAAATAAGTCTCACAAGGTCTGATGGGTTTATTAGGAGTTTCCGCTTTTGCTTCTCATTTCCTCTTGCTGCCAGCATGTAAGAAGTGCCTTTTACCTCCCACCATGATTCCGAGGCCTCCCCAGCCATGTGGAACTGTAAGTCCAATTAAACCTCTTTTTCTTCCCAATCTTGAGTATGTCTTTATCAGCAGCATGAATGTGGACTAAGACACTCTTATTCTTCCATTTCCACAGCAATATCTCTTCACTGTTAACCTCAAGCATGGCACTACAGCTCAGGAATGAGAAGGCAAAGTAATCCCAGTACGCCCTGCCCTGGCTCCACCGAAGCCTGGGAAGTGGCATCCAGTTCTCCCAGGGCCCTGCAGCCCAGGGATAGCAACTTAGGCAGCCTTGGTGCTTGGCAACTCCCCTCTCTCTGCCAGTCAAGTGTGGTGAGAGGATGCCCAATGCAAAGAAATGGGTGAAGTGCTGGGTGGGACAGGACCCGTCTCGGAACCTAACTAACCAGACATTGTGGAAAAAGCTCTGGGTTTGCAGAAAAGATGAGCCTCTAGGAAGGTTTTCAAGAAAAGCCAGAGATGGGGCCCCACCAGCTCTTGAGGGCAGCCTCTCAAGGCAGACAGCTGCTGGGAGTCCTGAGGGGCAGGCAGAGCTGAGGAGTCTGGAGGAGGCAGGTGGGAGGCAGCACCCACTGGGCTGGGGCTGGGTTTCTCTGGTCAGTAATCCCGGGGATCCCAGCCCGCACTGGAGTGTGCGGCCCTGGTGTGCTTGAGGCTCGCGGGGCAGGAGGAGGCAGCCGTCAGGATCATGAGTGCTGGCCTGGCTCAGCCCCCAGCCCTGCCTGCACTCACTGTGGCTATAAGGTGTTGGGAACAAGCCCCCCAAAATCTGGCCATAAACTGGCCCCAAAACTGGCCATAAACAAAATCTCTGCAGCACTGTGACATGTTCATGATGGCCATAACGCCCATGCTGGAAGGTTGTGGGTTTACAGAAATGAGGACAAGGAACACCTGGCCTGCCCAGGGTGGAAAACCCCTTAACGGCATTCTTAAGCCACAAACAATAGCATGAGCAATCTGTGCCTTAAGGACATGCTCCTGCTGCAGTTAACTAGCCCAACCTATTCCTTTAATTCGGCCCATCCCTTCGTTTCCCATAACGGATACTTTTAGTTAATTTAATATCTATAGAAACAATGCTAATGACTGGTTTGCTGTTAATAAATATGTGGGTAAATCTCTGTTCGGGGCTCTCAGCTCTGAAGGCTGTGAGACCCCTGATTTCCCACTTCACACCTCTATATTTCTGTGTGCGTGTCTTTAATTTCTCTAGCACCACTGGGTTAGGGTCTCCCCAGCCGAGCTGGTCTCGGCATAAGGCAGGATACTAAACCTCCCTGTGCCTTGGTTTCCTAGGCAGGAAAGCAGGAAGGACACAATTCATTGCCGGCAAGCACTTAGAACAGTGCCTGGCCCACAGGAAGCGCTCACCATAGTCCAGCTTTTCCTACAGTCACATGATAGAAAGTATGACTGAGTGACTGAGGGTGTGGAGACAGCAGGTGGCTCAAAAAGACAGGGCTTAATGTTCCTCTGGGCTTTGAAGTTGGCCAGAAGTTTTTAGGTTGAGTTCCAGTGAGATGTGCCAGGGTCAGCACAAACCCTCTGGGTCACTCAGCCTGGTCTCCTGAGCTCTGCTTACTGCAGGTGGGACAACAAAGGGATACAAGGAAGGGCCCTGCCTTCCATTTGAGTCTCAGCCCCCCCCGCCACGTGTGCATTCAGGGTGCTGCTTGGGTGAGGAGGGCGCAGATGTGTGAGGAGCATGGGGAGGCGTGGTCAGGTGTGTGGGCAGGGAGGGACGTGGAACGTGAGGTTTAAGAACGTCACAGCACCGTGCTGGCCTCCCTCCCAGCCTACATGCAGTGGCTCCTGCAGCCACAGCCCACACAGGCCTTTCCTGCCCTCCTGGGTCTACCTCAGAGTTCTGTCCCTTCAGAAAAGCCTCTTCAGGCTCTCTTGGAACCTTGGGGACCTGAGAGTCCAATCCAGTCCTGTGGGAGCTCCATGCCCCTGACCACAGTACTGGTTCTCCCTCCAGACACTGCTGAGCCTCCTCCCGGTATGGCTGGGGTCTCGGAGACTGTCTACCAATACAGAACAAAAGTAGCGGCAGAGGCACAAAACCAGGGCAGCCCTGGAGCCCAAAACAGGAGCCTCGGAAGGGCCACATGAGTGAAGCGGCCGTGAGCTTCTCTCTGGGGGTGGGACAGGGGGAATTTCCATTTTTTTCCCTTATATATTTCCATAACCTTTGCTAAGAGCACAAATATGTTCTGAAAGCAGAAAATCAAACTTAAATAACAAGAAAGGAGCTATGCTTATAAATTCAGGCTGCCAATTCCCTGTGTGGTTTGTGGAAACCTTATAGTCAGGCTCAAAAAGTGAAGCAGGCCAACAGTCTACCTGGAGTCATTCTGGTAACAAGACGAGTTTTAAACAAGACGTCAGTGCGTGCAGAAGAAAGGACACACGGAACCTGACAGAGGGGAAAGGAGGAGGGGGGTCTGGGAGACGAAGGCCCACGGAGGGAGGGGCCCTCCCCCTGCCACCCCCCAAGCCTCAGGGCCTCTGGCAACCGCCTCTGAATGTGTCTCCCAGGTGCCGGCCGGCTCCTCTCATTCAGTCCACCTTTGGCACGGTATCTGGATGTCCTCTAAGCTGTGCGACACCATTGCCCAGCACCCTCAGTGGTGGCACTGACCTGTCTTTCTAGTCCTGTCCCCCACTGCTCTCCTTGTGGCCCCTTAGGGTAGATGAGCTGGACTGTTTCCTCTTCTCGGTACCCCTCCCTGTCCTCTGCTTCTGGTGTCACTCTCTGTGGAACATTCCTCCCTCCCCACACCTTCGACACCCACCTCACATGTCACCTCTCCAGAGAGCCCCTGGCCCCTGCCCAGGGGTGTCTGTTCCTCCCTCCTCACTAACACCCACTTTGTTGGTGCCTCTCGATTGGTGCTGGCCTTGTTTGCCCTTAGAGTTCAGAGGTTCTAAACCCTTTCCTGGATCCTGGCCCCTTTCATGAGTGCGTGATGCTAGCTACGGACCTTCTAGAAAAATGCTCATACACACACAGAAGATCCCTGATTACCATTCCAGAGCCCTGGCTAAAGACTCCGACACCCCTTCATTTGTGTTCCTGGGGGAAGGAAGGAGGCTGGGATCCAGGTGAACTGGCAAATGGGTCCCACAGTGGGGGACAGGAGTGCAGGGGAGAGAGGCCACCCATAGCAGCCTAGGATTGCTCAGGGCCCCAGGGATGATCAATGTGGCTTGGTCTCCCCAGCGTGGAAGCAGAGCCTGCTCTTCCAAAGATAGCAGTTGCTATACGTTTCAAGAGTCACAAGAATGTTCCAAACCTTTGACCCATTAATAGCTCTTCTGAGAATTTATCCCCCCAAATCCAACAGAAGTAAAAAGATATACGTAGAAGGTGATCTGCATTGCAACTTGACTTAACCCTTGTGGAAAAAACTGTAAGTCGCCCAAATACCCAGCAAATGGCTAATTAAAATGACACATCCTCTGGATGGAAGATTCTACAACCTTAAGAATGACCATAATGAAACAACAGTATTGTTTATCATTGCAATAAAGTACAGAGAGAGAAGAGCGGGACAAAATTGTGTTCTGTGAAGCTGACGCTGGGATCTATGTGTGCATAGAAATAAAGGCAGAAGGCTATATGCAAAGAGAAAAGGCTCATTTAACTTGGACGACCGAATTAGGGAAAACCTGAAACGTTTTTCAAAGTTGCTATAGGGTGCTGGTGGTTGTTCTTTTTAAAAATACTTTTTAAACTGGAAATAAACATGGAACTTCCTGTTGCCTCCAGCTGTGATCCTATCCCTGACCTCGGCTTCTCTGGAAGGACCACAGTTTTCTTAGAAAGGGAACATCCCTCAAGGCCTTTGGGCTTGGCTCCAGACTTCCTAGTCAGCTTGGACATAACCTGAGGAGGGGGAACCTATGGCCAGGCACGAACCAAGGAGACACACAGCCAAAATGGGGGTGGGGGAAGGCAGTGGTCCTCCTAGGAAGCCAAAGACAGAACGGTCACCCTGGGCTGGCTTCGCTCTGTAGCTCTCATGAACCCAGCACCCACCAGGTGACAGACACCATCCACCCAGTCAAAATCATCCCTCTCCTTTGCTAAAACTTCTGCATCAACCCGGTATTATTTATGTGCAATATTGTCTCAAGTTTGCAGGTGACAAAGCCTAGGCACAGAGAGATGAAGTTGTCTGTTACACATCCCAAAGGGTTAGCGGTAGACCCTGAACCCAGGGCTCTGAGACCCCTGGAATGGGTGAGTTTTTGTGCTTTTCCCACCCCAGTTCTCTCATCTGCTTTAATGTTGTTCTGCTACAGATGTGAAGGTCCCCCCAGTGCCCAGGGGCATCGGTTAAAACCTTTCCAAAAGTCCCATAGACTGTTCTTTTAAATAAACATAGAAATGGATCCTTCTGCTCTTAAGGCTTAAAACTTCTACTTATCTGAGTTCCTTCCTCAGCAAAGGACCTTCAGGCCTCTCAAATGAAGTACTGAATAACTGAAACTCACCAACCAGGTCACCACATCCAGACAATGAGACTCAGGACCCCTCATTCCTATTGTCTCGCGCGTTGTTCCATTTCTTCCCTGCCGTGTAAACCCCGGATTTAGCAGGTCAGAGAGATGGATTGGAGACTGAGTCCCCATATCCTCTACCGCAGCACCCGATTAAAGCCGTATTCCTTGGCAATAATTGCTGTCACAGTGATTGGCTTTCTGTGCAAGCAGCAGGACCCAGACCGAAGCCCTGGTGTTTTGTAACATAGTAAGGCCCTGACAGTGCGGCTCTGGCTCTGGACACCCTCCCCAGGGCTCCATGCCACCTGGGCGTGGGAATCAGGCAGCCCCTTCCGGTGGGTCCTTCCTCACAGAAACGGCCCAGCGGCTGCCTCGGGGGGAACTTGCAACAGCCTCTGATGTGTCTCCCAGCACCCCGGTCCGCTCCTCCTCTGCAATCCACTGTCCCCACGGCATCTGATGTCCTCAAAGACGTCCTGTGGCTGCCATTGCCAGGCACCAGGCAGGGGTGGGGGGTACAGGGGCAGTGGTGGTGGCGGCTCCTAGAGTCCTCCCTGGGACCCACATTAAGCAGAGAAGAGGGAGCGGAGGAGGAGAGTGCTGCCTCCATGGCTCCCTCCCCACCCTGTGGCCTAAGGACACTGGTGGGTCACCCGGCCTCCCCGGCCTCACTGCCCTGTGCTACTCCTCACAGGCTGAGGAGAGGAGGGGCCCACGTGGCAAAGCCCGGCCTCAGAGCAGGCATGAGTGGCCACCGTGTACTCAGAAAGTACTCAACTGGGCTGAGCGTGAGAGGCCTGATGCCAGGACAGCCCCGGACCTCGACAGAGGCCTGCTGCTCCCCAACACCCCCAGCAGACGCCTGCCTGCCTCTCCACGGCCAGGAGCCGCTGCCCGAGGACCCGAGCTGCCAACGCCCGCGGAAACTTGGGTTGCCCTCGTCACTGCCACACAGAGTGGCCGAGCCGGTGCTGGGAGTGCAGCCCTGGTTCAGCCGAGCCCATCCCCAGGACTTCAGGCTGCCCTACCCAGAGTGTGGCTGGTGGGGCTGTGGACTCAGCATCACCCGTGCTCATCAGGGTGGGGAAGCCACGGACCGTGAGGCACACCTGTGCACCTGAGGTTTGAGAAGTCTCTCTTGAGGAACAAGATTTGAAGGAAAGGAACAGCTGGAGGGTGTGTGTGTGTGTGTGTGTGTGTGTGTGTGTGTGTGTGTGTGTGTGTGTGTGTGTGTGTGTAGGGGTGTTATTTGTACAACATTCTGGAAGAGTCTACCTACTAAAGGCACTGCCTCCAGCCATATCAAACTAGGAGGCAAAACCTGTAACCGAGGACTGGGGTATAAGGAAGCTGCAGAAAACAAGACCCTCAAAGCCAGTGCGATGTGTTTTGAGGTGGAAATGGCTGCGCGCCTCAGGACACGACGTATGGCGACCTTGCCCCCTTCCCAAAGCCCAAGGATGGCACAGGACCCCACTGTGAGGAGCTGCCGCAGGGGAAGGTGCAACAGGGCAGCGCCCAGGGGGCAGGGGTCACTTGGCAGCTTCCATATTCTTTGTATGTTTTCTTTTCCTGTAATCCTTTTTTATTGTTACAATTGTTTTATAGTGTGATTTTCAGATTGAAACGCGCCTCATCTTTTTTTTTTTTTTTTTTTTTTGAGATGGCATCGCTCTGTCACCCAGGCTGGAGTGCAATGGTGCGACCTCGGCTCACTGCAAGCTCCGCCTCCCAGGTTCAAGTGATTCTCCTGCCTCAGCCTCCCGAGTAGGTGGGACTGCAGGTGCACACCATCATGCCTGGCTAATTTTTATATGTTTAGTAGAGACGGGGTTTCACCATGTTGGCCAGCCTGGTGACCTCAGGTGATCTGCCCGAGATCCTGACCTCAGGTGATCTGCCTGCCTTGGCCTCCCAAATTGCTGAAATTACAGGCATGAGCCACCGTACCCGGCCAGTGAGCCTTATCTCTTGAAAGCTCCTGGCACTGGGCATTTCATCGCTATTCAATGCCCATCACTGAACATCATTATTCATACATACTGATTCATATATACTGAATCTGTATATACAATGACTATAGCCATTGAATGAGGATATACAATAATCAGTACACAATTGAATGGTGATATTCATCATGATGTGAATTCTTGTGATCCATTTCAGGCCCCTTTGGTGTTGTCTCTCCTTTATAAAAATTACTTGAGGACACAGAGGCCACTTCTCCCAGGACTGCACCTGTTCAGGCTGTGGTGTCTTGAAGCTGTGGCCTGTGGTGGCTTCACTCTTGGACTGTGACTTTCGGTAGGGGGTGGCAGGGTTCCAGAGAACCGGACTGTGGAAAAAGGACCCTTCCTTCACTTGAAGCTACTTTTTATCTGATGGCCTGGACTAAACAGAGGAGTATCTGTTGACGTAAGATAGTAATGACTAATCCCAAAGGTGGCTTTGCTGAAGAAACAAAGCATGTTTAAAATCAGAACATCTGTCAGAGGAGTGGCCATATCACCCAGGGGTTTTGGGGGGTACAGCAAAGCTCACTGATCTGGGGTTAGGCTGCAAAGGCCCCCATGCCCTGGGCAGGTACTTCACCCCGGGGGCTTGGTTCCTTATCTATAAAATGGGCATCTCTTAGGCCTCTTTGTTTAAAGTGTAAATCTTTCCAGAAGGAGAACTTCTCAGAAGATACAGAGGATGTATTTAGAAATGTGTGGCTGGCGTGTCACTGGGACAAGTGGCTCGTGGCTTTTGTTCTGCTGAAATCTGGTGCAACATACAGGATGAAATTCAAAAAGGATAGAGGTCATAGTCTGTACCTGAGACTCCCAAACCAAATGCAGGAGAACAGAATGGGAGAGACACAATGTACCAATGTTGCGGGGGTTAGAAGGGGGACACCTACCATTTGAGATGCTGTTAGATTTAAAATGAATTCCCAGCCTGGGCATGGTGGATCACGCCTGTAATCCCAGCACTTTGGGAGGCTGAGGTGGGCGGATCACTTAAGGTCAAGAGTTCAAGACCAGCCTGGGCCACATGGTGAAACCCCATCCCTACTAAAAATACAAAAATTAGCAGGGCTTCGTGGCGGGCACCTGTAATACCAGCTGCTCAGGAGGCTGAAACACGAGAATCGCTTGAACCCGGGAGAGAGAGGCTGCAGTGAACTGAGACTGCGCCACTGCACTCCAGCCTGGGTGACAGAGCGAGCCTCCATCCCGAAACAAATAAAAATAATAAAATAAAATGAATTCCCAGCATAAAGTAGCTGCCTGAACAAGCCCCTTGGCTCTGGGCTGTGTGACAGAAAAATAAAAAGGCCCCGGTCCAGCTTAACCAGGCTGTGTCCTTAGCCCCAGGTCCCCCCCACCCCCTTCTTCTTAGGAAGCTGTCTTTAAGTCTGAGGAAAGCTGCTATGTAGAAAAGGGACAAGACTTGCTTTGGAGGCCCCAAGAGAGAAAGCTAATGAGGAAAGGCTGCTGGGGAACAGAATGTTGCTTTCAGAGAAGGAAGAATTTTTAAAGAGTCAAACAGTTCAAAGAATGTGCTGCCCTGAGAGGTGGTGAACTCCCATTCCCAGAAACCGAGAGAGAAGACTGCGGGAAGAGCCGAGCAGGGGTGGAAGGCTGGACCGGAGGAGGGGGATGTGGCCAAACCCTGGGGGCCGAGGCCTGGGTGCCCAGATGTGGTTCTGCACAGAGAAGAAGGAGGGTAAAGTCTTCATTCTCCTCAGCCTTCAAGTCCTTGATGGTTATCCTAAAAATACAGCATGGTAATAAAAGTCAAGGCCCTGACCCTCTCTGGGAAAAGAATCAAAGTCCAGAGAAAAAACAACAAGCCCTGGAAGTTCCTAGTAGGTTTCCTGGGTAAAGCAAGAACCTGCCCAGATCCTGGGAAGAAGCACCCAGGCCTGCAGTGGGGTAGAGAGTTGAGAAGGGCCTGGGGCAAGATGCTGGGCCTCCTGGGCTGGGATCTCAGCTGAGAGCAGATGTGTTGAGCTTCTCACCCCAGGGCAATCTGTCGGCATGGCCTCCACAGGGCTCCGAGAAGGAACCACCCAAGCCCCCTTCTACTCAGGGATGACTCATGCCAGGCCTGGTTCGCACTGGCTCAGGACAGAGATAGAAGGGGGAGGCAGCCAGCACTGTTCCCAGGGGCCCGAGCTGTTACAGCTGAGGCTCTGATGAGGCATTCAGGAGTTAATTACAGCAAGGAGGCCAGGAGGGATTTGGATAAATGAGGTTGGCTGGTGAGAAGCTAAGTTTCTACAACATCCTTGTAAGAGGGAGACAGTTAGGTCGAGAGAGACCCATAGTGCTCAGGTGGCTGGGAATGAGTGTGAATGTGGAGAGTGTGTGTGTGTGTGTCCATGCGTTAGCGCTTGCACATGTACACACATGCAGCTGCATGTACGTGTCTACTGTCTACAGTGTCTGCATGAGGTATGTATATGAAGTCTGTTTGTCTGTAGGGTAGGTGTGTCCATGTGTGTTCATGTGTTCTAAGTGCCATGTGCTTGACAAATACATGTCACTGTAACCCATCACAGGCTGTGAGCATACCCACAGATGTTTCACAAACCAGTCTGTCTTGGTCCCGATTAATCCAGATTCTTAGAGTGTCCAGCCAATTTGGAAGCCAAAAAGTCACTGCACCCCACCAGGGCGTCCATCATGGCCTGACTACCTAAGCAGAGGGGGCTGTGGGAGGCAGGGAATGGAGAGAAGGACCAGGCCTAGTAACCTTGGGAGGCCAGAGCCCAAACAGCTCACCTCTCCCGGATGAGGGGACGAAGTACCACAATGTGTGAAATCTGGAAACTCCAATACTGCCGCCATTTAGACTAGGGGGCCCACGTGTGCTGCCCCTGCCCAAGAGATGTGTTCCCCACCTCAGTCACTCGAAGGACAGTCACTGGTCATCTATGCATGTCCCTGAGCTAAATGCTGGGAAGGTCAAAGGTAAACAGTACTCCAAAGAGCTTGGATGGGTGGGGCAATGGTCACACGTGGGAGAGACTGGTCTCCCAGGGCAGGAGTGCTTCACAGTCTTCAGCCAAATGCTGTAGGAACGTAGAGGAGGGAGGAGCTGCATAACTGTAAAAGTCAGCATATTTGGAAACAAGGCCTCCAGCATGAGAACAGGCACCAGACCAGTGTCCCCAGAGTCCCCAGATCAACAGGCCCCAAGAGAAGCAGGGCCACATTTAATCTCAGTGTTGGCGGGGCCAGACTAACAAGCCACCAGGCCATGTCATCTGGAACAGTGCGGAAATCACACAGACCCAGGGTCAGCCCAGAGCTCTTACCCTGCCAGAGCAGGAGAGGGGACACCGAACATGTGGGACTTCTGGTCACTGGCCTGGTCTCCTGTGCAGTCCCCAGAGACAGGGGCCACCGTGTAGGCCAAGGTGACTGCAGTCTCAGGAGACAGCCCACTGGGCCCAAAGATGGCCACGTGTGTGGTACCTGGAGCCCTCACCACGAATTATTTGGCAAAGAGCAGGTACTACTCCTTAGAGGTTTGAAGAGTTAACGAGCTGTCAACTAGGAGACCTGGCCCAAGGGGCAAGCCACCATCCTCTAGAACAGCGCTAATAGAACTTCCTGCAATCACAGAAATGTTCTGTATCTTTGCTGTCCAATATGGCAGCCACATTTAGCTACTGAGCACATGAAATGTGGCTAGTGCTACTGAAAGACTAACATTTTCTAATTAATTAAGTTTAATTTAAATAGCTACATATGACAAGTGGCTACCATACTGCTACCTATTGCAGCTCTAGAACACTGTAGTCACAAGTACTGTGCCAACTCTGATGGGCAGAGAGCAGCTGCCTCGAGCCCTGTGTTGAGAAGGATGCGGAGGGTTCGTATCTGTGACTGGCGGAAAGCAGACCCTTTGCATTCTCTCCTTGACCCAGATGCAGCAACTCAGTACCACCCTGGGCATAAAGGCCCAAGAAAATTATACCGACAAAATTTCCACCTTTACCCACGGCACTCCCTAAGCTCCGTCCTCTGCTTTCTCTCCACAGCCCTTCCCAGCTCCTGACATAGCACATACTCGTCTGTTTAATGTGTGTTGCCCACACTAGAATCTGTTCTGCTCACAACTGTATCCCCAGTGCCTAGAAAAGTCCTGAAATACTTGTGGTCTGAATTTTTTTTTTTTTTTTTTTTTTTTAAAGAGACAGGGTCCCGCTGTCTCCCAGGCTGGAGTGCTGAAGTGTAGTCACAGCTCACTGCACACTGATCTTGCTGGGCTCAGGTGATCCTCCCGCCTCAGCCTCCCAAGTAGCTGGGACTACAGGTGCGCACCACCACCATGCCTGGATTTTTTTTAAGTTTTTTTGTAGAGATAAGGTCTTGCCATGTCTGGTGTTGGACTCCTGGGCTCAAGAGGGGCTCAGTGACCCAGTTAGAATGTGAATGCAAGTCTTACTTGCAACCTTTGTTGACAGATCTTTCCATTTTCTAAGTGAGTCAAAAATCCAGGTTTTTATCCAGAATGTACAAATGTTTAAGTATTAGAAAATGTTAACACTCTGGGAAGGTCAAACAAAACAGATACCCACAGGCCAGCTGTGGTCCAAGGACTACCTAACTGATTCTTCCTGTTAATTAACAGATCTCCCAAATAGAGCCAGGAGGAAGTGCCAGCTGGTAAATGAGAGATCTCATTATTAAATGAAATAATCCAATGAAAACACCATCCAGGGCCTGGCACAAAATAAATGTTCAATAAAACTACACTCATTACTAACAAAACTTCATTCTTACAGCCAGATAAATATAAAATGCGCCACAACCCTGGCCACAATGCACAATTCTACAATTCTACAACTCTACAGTTCTCCAGCAATTCTACAACTGTTTGGAGAAAAATTCTGCTGGAGGATGTGGCAAAGGCTTAAGACCTGCCACAGCCCAGCAGAGCCCAGCTCAGAGGCCACACAGCCCATGCATGGGCCGTCAGCAGGACTGTCCTCACCAGCTCTGCTCAGGTCCACCCTGACACAGCCAACATCCTCCCACTGCCACCAGGAACCCACCACTGCTTTAGGACAACCTGTTTTCTATGGGTTCATCATCTGCATTATCTGAAATGTGGATTTGTTTTGCTAAGTCCTGGAATGTTGAAATGAAGAGCATTCTGTGACATCCAAGAGGTGAGAGTTGGAACCAACAGAAGGACCAGTGCCTACTTCGCATTATGGGGAACGCACCTGGCTTTTCTCACACTGAGAGGCATTCGAGGCTAAAAGAAAAACTAAAAATATTAGATATCTTTGTGGGTGGTTCTGTGAAGAAGATAGCGAGTACAATGCAAGGCTGATGCTGGGGGTGGGGACGTGTCTGTGTGTCTCCTGTGAAGCAGACAATGGATTTGACCCATTACATTAGACGCGGAGAATGCCATGATGCAGCCACGGTGCAACGAGCAAGACGCAGAGCAGCTATGGATCCACAGGCAGAGGCACAGCCCTCCCACTCGACACCAGCTTCGTCTCCTCTTCCCACTCTTAGTGGTCCCCCTGCCCCGACCTCACTGTTGCCAGGATAACAGTGGCATGGTGGGGCTTGGCACTAGAAGCCCAACCCCAGGCCAAGAGGCAACTGGCCTCTGGCTCTGACTCCCCTCTCCCCTACCAAGCGCCTATAAGAACAGGGCTCAGGGTTGATGACACCTTGTCCTAATAGCAAAAGGTCTTGGGGGAAACAGTGACCAGGCTTGGGCAAAGGTTACAGAGGAAGAACATTCAGAAAAGCAAGAGATACAATCCAAGCTTAGGAAATGGCAGCCTCCCAGTGTCCCAAGCTCCGGGGCTCCCAGGAGAGGGGCCTGACGCTTGTGGTCAATGGGCGGTTCTTCCCTGTAAGACCGGCATGAAGGAAAAACACCATCCCTAGTAACAGGTGACCCTGCACGTGGGTTAAAGCAGAAGGAGAGGTGGGGAGAGGCAGCTGTGTCTCTGTGCAGTCCCCCAAGACCTGAATGGAAACCCACCCAGCGTCCACCTCAGCTGTCTCCCCAGGATCCCAAGGGTGAAGATGGGGATGGCTTTCTACCCTAGACCCTGTGCAGTCTGCCCTGGGCTCTCCCTCTACGTGCCCTGGCTGCAGCATCCTCCTGTCTGAGGGTGGGCACTGTGGACAGTCCTCACCTCCGAGGGAGGACCAGGCACAGGGCCAGTTAACCACACAGGACGCGTGTGAAGGAAGCATAGGCCTGCCCCTGTCATCCCTCCATCTTCCCACATCCTCCGTCAACCATGTTCCGATCCCTGGGAAGTGATTCTGAGTATGATTCAGAGAGGCTCAGTTTTGTAGCTCCACCTGGCAGCAGGTGTGTGCTGAGTGGGTTTTCTGGGTGCCGCCTGTTGCCAGGTGGCGGCTGGGGTGCTTAGCAACCCTCAAGGTCCCCAACTAACCCCTGAAGTGTGGTCACATGGGAATAAAGACAAACAACTCCAGTTCTGTCCTCTGGGCCTCCTGCTCTACCCTCACATGCCCACAGAGCCGGGAGGCTGGACCAAGGTCAGCATGCACCCTGGCGGCCCCGCACCACAGGGAAGCGCCATGGCACTGCCTGCGAAGCCAGATATGTGTTCGGCAGAGGCAAAGAGGACGCTTCGCATGCCAGGGCTGCACCAAGAGCTCCAAATCCACAAGGCCTCAGGGCAGGGCAGGCTCCACTACCTCCCTGAAGGAGACTGGAGCCAGGGAGGTTAAAGCAGCAAAGCCACTGGAATCTGAGACCCTTGCCATTACCCAAATGCTCTGTTGCCTCAATGCACCCTTTGACATGTGGACATGCTCACCCCAGTGAGGAGGCAGAAAGGGATGCCTGTGCTTGAGGGACTGTGCCGCCTCACCCTCCTGGACCATGGCTGGCTGCCCACCCATCTGGGAGTTGACTGTCATTAGGAGGCTGGTCATCTTCATAACAGAAGGTACAACTTCCCAGGGGATGGCAAGAGAGAGAGCGGGCTCAGGTCACCAGCGCATCCCTACACCTCACTTCACAGCAGAGGAGGAAGCTGAGGCCCAGCGAGGAGACACCTGCTGGGACAGCCACATGGCCAGGGCTGCCCTTCAGCCGCACACTCTTAAGGCAGCTTAGAAAACAAGATAAATAGCCGAGCATGGGGCTCACGACTGCAATCCCAGCACTTTGGGAGGCCAAGGCAGGCAGATCACTTGAGATCAGGAGTTTGAGACCAGCTTGGCCAACATGGTGAAACCCCGTCTGTACTAGAAATACAAAAATTAGCTGTGTGTGGTGGTGGGCACCTGTAGTCCCAGCTACACGGGAGGCTCAGGCAGGAGAATCGCTTGAACCTGGGAGGTGGAGGTTGTAGTGAGCCAAGATCGTGCCACTGCACTCCAGCCTGGGCGAAAGAGTGAGACTCCATCTCAAAAAAAAAAAAAAAAAAAGATAAGAGCACCTGACCAAATAAAAAGTGAGACATGGACCCTGGGCACTCAATTCTGGAAGGAGGCCCCTTTTTTGCAGAGGGTAGATTAACGATTGTTTTTATAGGAGACACTCATAATTTTTTTAAATGGAGAATTTTCTTAAAAAAGACATTAAGCACACATGTAAGTAAGGGATGGCCTGCTCTGACACTGACCTCAAATGGCTCTTTGGAGCCACTTCCAAACCAGGTTCTGTTTCCTCTCATACCAGGACTGTCTGCGGCCCTTTCCAAAGTGTTTTTCCATCTATTATCTCATTTTTATTCTCATGAGGAGCTTTTACAGGAGGAAAGTGAAACGGGGTCATGCAGCCTCTAGTACCGGCCTGCACTCAGCTCCGAAGACCCGTCAGCTGATGTTTCTGAAACGTCAAATCAGCCCAGAGCCCACGCCACTCCCAACGTCAGCCCCAATGCCTTGGGAGGGAGTGACCTCTGTCCTGGCTGGAAGAGAGAAGGGGAAGGATGCACAGGCCCCAGCCAGCTCCCATCCTACCTCACCACCCTGACTTCAGCCGGTGCCTCCCCAGGGGCTGGGGGCCAGCGTGACGGCATCTTGGAGCCCCAAAGGGCTTCATGGTTTTTAGACTCCCCTCTGCCTTATTTCATGTGATTCCCAAACTATCCCCTAACAATGGTATTATTTTTAATCCCATTTTCAGAAAATTAAACTAAAGACCAGAGAGGTAAAGTACCAACACCACACAGAGAAAGCCAGGGCTCACAGTCCCCCAAAAACGCTGGCAGAGGCTGTGGATGCAAATCCAGGTCCAAGATGACCAGCGGGGTCATCCCTCCCCAACCCCCAGTACAGACAGGTATCCACCACAAGGTGAGGCTGGAGCATAGGACTGTGGGACTGTGCTAGGGTCTGGGTCCCTTGTCCTCACGTGCAAGGCCTGTCCCAGGGCTCACCAGGTCCCTTTCTATCTGGTTTTAAAAATCAATCTCGGTAGCCGGGCGCGGTGGCTCACGCCTGTAATCCCAGCACTTTGGGAGGCTGAGGTGGGCGGATCACGAGGTCAGGAGATCGAGACCATCCTGGCTAACACGGTGAAACCCCGTCTCTACTAAAAATACAAAATATTTGCCGGGCATGGTGGCGGGCACCTGTAGTCCCAGCTACACGGGAGGCTGAGGCAGGAGAATGGCGTGAACCCGGAAGGCGGAGCTTGCAGTGAGCCGAGATCGTGCCACTGCACTCCAGCCTCGGGGACAGAGCGAGACTCCGCCTCAAAAAAAAAAAATTAATTAATTAAAAAAAATAAAAACAAATAAAAATCAAGCTCGGGTCCCAAGTTTTCTTTTGGGGGAAGATGTTGCGGAACTAGCTAGAGGTGGTGGTGGCACAACATGGTGAGTGTACTAAACCACTTTCAAGGGGTTTCATTTTAGCTCTATAAAAAAGAAAAAAAAATGAAGCAAACCTGAGTTTTTCTAACTGCATATCTAATTTATAATACCATATTCATTTTTAAAAATTATTTTTCAAAAAAAGTCCCAGATTAAGGGAGGTTTTGGTGGCCTCTTCTACTTTTCTATATCTTCAAAATTGTATCCAACAATCATATGATGGTAGAGAGTTTGAGTGTCTATGTGCAGGCACTGTGCAATAACTACTTAACACTTATCTCCCCTAAGGCCATAGGAGAGGGGCAGAGACTCTGGTACTTGGCTCTCAGCTGCTATACTATGTGAGAGGAAGGTGTTACATTTATAATCTCTTAATCAGGATAAAACATGGCTAGGACACTCTCAAATATCAGGACCAAAAAAAAGGCTTGAAGGAATATGCCTCTGTGATGGTTAATACTAAGTGTCAACTTGATTGGATTGAAGGATACAAAGTATTGATCCTGGGTGTGTCTGTGAGGGTGTTGCCAAAGGAGTTTAACATTTGAGTCGGTGGGCTGGGAAAGGCAGACCCACCCTAAATCTGGGTGGGCACAATCTAATCAGTGGCCAGTTTGCTAGAATATAAACAGGCAGAAAAAGGTGAAAAGAGAGACTGGCCTAGCCTCCATACAGCCTACACTTTTCTCCTGTGCTGGATGCATCCAGCTCTCCAACAGTGGACTTGAAGTTCTTCAGTGTTGGAACTCGGACAGGCTCTCCTTGCTCTTACCTGCAGATGGCCTATTGTGGGACCTTGTGATCATGTGAGTCAAAACTTAATAAACTCCCCTTCATAGATATCTATTCCATTAGTTCTGTCCCTCTAGAGAACCCTAATACAGCCTCTATCAGTCTTTTATTTTAGAGATGGAGGTCTCACTATGTTGGCCAGGTTGGTCTTGAGCTCTTGGCCTCAAGCAATCCTCCTGCCTCAACCTCCTAAAGTGTTAGGATTACAGGCGTTGAGCCACTATGCCAACCTCTTTTTTATTTCTTTATAATTGTATATTCTTGCCAAATATTACACAGTGTAGGCCAAGAAAGCAAAGGAACTCTTCCAAACTTGAGTTTATCTGTCTGTGGCTTGAGCCAAATGAGGATAAGGCAGGAAACAGCCCACAGGATGTCACTCCTGCCTTGAGGCTGGTTCCCTGGGGCTGGGGTTTTCAAATAGGAATCCTTTGGGGAGGGTTTCCAAAAGCAATGAGGTATTTTCTAGATAAACAAGGAAAACTTAAGTGCCTAAGTATACTCTCACTCATTGCTGGTGGAGTATAAATTGTTTGAAGCTCTATAGGAGGCCGGACGTGGTGGCTCATGCCTGTAATCCCAGCACTTTGGGAGGCCAAGGCAGGCGGATCACCAGAGGTCAGGAGTTCGAGACTAGCCTGTCTAACATGGTGAAACCCCGTCTCTACTAAAAATACAAGAAAAATTAGCTGGGAGTGGTGGTGGGCACCTGTAATCCCAGCTACTCGGGACGCTGAAGCAGGAGAATAGCTTGAACCCGGAGGCGGAAGCTGCAGTGAGCTGAGATCGCACCACTGCATTCCAACCTGGGCGACAGAGCAAGACTCTGTCTCAAAAAAACAAAACAAAACAAAAAAAGCACATTCCAGATTCCTCAAAAAATTAAACACAGAACTACCATATGACCTGGCAATTCCACTTTTGGGTATATATCCAAAAGAACTGAAAACAGGGACTCAAACAGATATCTGTACACCCGTGTTCACAGCAGCACCATTCCCAATAGCAAAGCCGCAGAAAACACCCAAATGTCCAAATGAACAAACAAAACGTGGTGTATACATGCAAGGAGATATCAGCCTTAACGGGAAAGAAATGCTGATCTGCCCGACGACACAGAAGAACCTTGAAGACATCATGCTAAGTGAAATAAGCCAGTCAAAAAGGGACAAATACATGATTCCGCTTATATAAAGGACCTAGTAGAGGCAAATTCAGAGACACAGTAGAACAGTGGTTACCAGAGTCTGGGAGAATGGGCAGTTATTGTTTAATGGGCACAGAGTTTCTCTTTGGGATGATGAAAAAGTTCTGGAAACGGACAGTGGTGATGGCTGCACGACATTGTGAATGCACTTAATGCCACTGAATTGTATACTTAATGATTAAAATGGTAAATTTTATACTATGTATATTTTACAGTAGCTATATATATAATTTTTAAAATGCAAATGTCCTTTGATCCAGCAATTCCACTTCTAGGTTTTTATTCTTCCACAGATACACTTGCACATATATACTATGATATAATAAATACCGCTACAAGGATATTTATTACAGCAATGTTTACAGTAGCAAAAGATTGGAAATAACCTAGAAATCTATGGAGAGCGCAACAAAATAAATTGTTACTTTTGTATAATGACTGAACACAGTCATTAAGAAGGTTGTGGCAATGCAATACAGACTTAGAATGCTCTCTAAGATAGTAGGTGAAAAGATCTAGTGCCTGTAATCCCAGCATTTTGGGAGGCCGAGGCGGGCAGATCACTTTAGGTAAGGAGTTCAAGACCAGCCTGGCCAACGTGGTGAAACCCCATCTCTACTAAAAATACACAAATTAGGCAGGCGTGGTGGTGCATGCCTATAGTCCCAGCTACTTGGGAGGCTGAGGTAGGAGAATCGCTTAAACCCAGGAGGCGGAAGTTGTGAGTCGAAATTGTACCACTGCACTCTAGCCTCAGCAACAGAGTGAGACTCTGTCTCAAAAAAAGAAAAATAGATTTAGTACAAAAGAGTGAATAGGCTATCATCTGTGTGTGTGTGTGTGTGTGTGTGTGTGTGTGTGTGTGTGTGTGTGAAAATTCTATAAACCTCTGAAAGGGTACATTAAAAAGATAATAGTGACTGGTGATTCATGGATGGGGGCTGGATGGCTAGGGGAAATGAAGGTGGGATGACTTACTTTTCCTAGTATACCCTTTTTCATACTTTTACGATTTTATACATGTATACGTTTGCTATAGAGGATCTTATAGCAGGCCAACCCTCCAGCCAAGAACAACTATAAAAGCTGGATAAAATACATAAAAAGAACCTAGCTCTTTAAAGGCAATGGAAACAACCAAAGCAGCCAGGATTTGAGGGGCCAAGATCTCAGGGGAAGGGAAACACATTTAAGTGAGCCCAATGCACTCCACCACTTTTCCCTTGCGACCAGGGTCGAGAGGCTGGAGAGAGAGCAATGATGAGGGCTTTCAAGGGGCTGGAGAAACAAGGACTGTGAGCAAGGATTCCAAGGCAGAGAGAGTAGAGGGGCTAAGACCCCGGGGAAAGAGAACCATACAACAGTGAGTCTGACTTTCTGTACACTATTACCCTTTAGTATTTGCATGGGGCAAGAGACCAAGAATCCAAGCAGAAAGTGAGACTAAGAGGCTAAGCTTTCAGTAGCCTCACATTGCTGAGGAGTTCAAGATACCATGAGAAAAGCACCAGCCTTTCAGGTAAGACCCCTGAGAAGCTATTTCCTATCTGCCCCTGCTCTAACCATCTGCCACAAGAAAAGTAAATCTTCCCTGGAGAGACACAACATTATTCAGAAGCACTACTATTTCCCATCCACAATATCTAGTATTTAATTTTTAAAAATGCCAGGTGGCTAAAGTGGGAGGATTGCTTGAGGCCAGGAGTTTGAGACCAGTTTGGGCAACACAGTGAGACTCCATCTCTACAAAAAACCATTTTTTTAATTAGCTGGGCATGGTGGCACACGCCTGCAGTCCTAGCTACTCAAAAGGCTGGGGTGGGAGTTTTGCTTGAGCCCAGGAACTCGAAGATGCATAAGCCACTGCACTCCAGCCTGAGTGACAAAGCAAGACCCTGTCTCAAAAAAAAAAAAAAAAAAAAAGAAAAAAAAAAAGGCCAAGATGCCAGGTTTCAACAACAAAAAAATGCATACCCATTGGTATTATTATGGTTGTCAGTCAGGAACTTTAAAATAAATGTTTAATATATTCTAAAAAATAGATGACAAAATAGGAATACATCGTTAGGGACCTAAGTCCAGTTTTTAAAATCAAATGGAAATTCTAGGACAGAAAAATATATAATTGAAATTGATGACTCAATAAAAGAGCTCAACCACTGATCTGACAAACCAGAGGAAGACAGGATTAGTAAACTGTAGATTAGGCCCATCAAAACATTGTCTGAAGTGCAAAAAGAAAAAAAGATTCAGAAAAAGAAGAGAGATACTTCTGGAACATGGTAAAAATGTCTAACAAGGATATTGAGTCCTAGAGGAAAGGAGCGAATGGGAAGAAGCAATAAAAAGATACTGGCTGAAAATGTTCAAAACTGACGAGAGATGTCAAACCAACATTCAAGAAGCTCTTTGAATACCAAGCAGAGCAACTGCAAAGAAAACTCCCAGGCGCAGCATCGTAAAACTGCTGAGAACCAAAAACAAAGAGCATTGGGAAAGCAACCACAGGAAAAAGTATGCATTAATGTAACGGGAGCAACAGTCTATCTGACAACTGGCATTTCAACAGGAATGAAGGAAGCGGGAAGGATAGTGAAATGCTTTTAAAGGGCTAGAAGTAAAAAATGGCAGCCTAGAATTATCTGCAAAAAGTCTTGGCATGATTTGAATGTGTCTGTTCAAAATTCAGGTGCTGCCAATGTAATACTATTAAGAGGTGGGGCCTTTAAGAGGGGATCAGGCCATGAGGGTTAAGGCTCTTTTAAAAGGGGCATCACATAACATTCAGCTAGCCCACCCTTCTGCCATGTATGGACACCAGAGCAAATGCTGGTGCCTTGATCTTGGACTTCCCGGCCTCTAGAACTGTAAGTAGTAAATTTCTGTTCTTTATAAATTACCCAGTTTCAGGTATTCTGTTGTAGCAGCACAAAACGGATGAAGACAGGTATCTTTCGAAAATGAAAGCAAAATAAGCACACTCCTAGGTAATCAGAAATGGAGAGAATTTGGTACCAAGAGATCAGCATAAAAGGTAATACTAAAGGGAATTCTTCAAGAAAATGAAGCAAAGAAATGGAGAAAGGAAGAGCAATTGAGAGGGCAAAACTGTGGGTAAATATAAGTAAAGAATATTAATAAGAATATTACATAAAATAATCACAATAAGGACTTGTGGGGTTTAAAATATGTTGAACTAAAACACATTATACTAATAAGCAGAAAGTGGGGGGCAGAGGCTTGTGAAATGAAGTTAAAAGGTTGTGAGGTCCTTGCATCATGACTAAAGAGGTAAGTACTAATTTGGGGCAGATGCAAATATGACATAGTTGACATTATTTCATTTTTTAAAGATTTTGACAGATTTGGCAGAATATACATTATTCTCAAGTGCATCAAAACTGACCACATGCTAGGCCAAAAATCAAGTTCCAAGAAATTTCAAAGACTTGAAATTAGAGTATGTTCTCTGACCAGAATAAAGATAAAAAACAACATAATTGTAAACAAATCCTCAAATGTTTAGAACTTAGTGCACTTCTACGTCGCCCATGGATCAAAGGCATTTCAATGAAAATTAGTAAATATTTTAAATTAAACGACACTGAAAATATGGCATATTAAAACTTGTGAGATAAAGCTCAAACAATGTAATGAGTGAGATCTGTAGCATTAAATGCATGTTTTAGGAAAGAAAGGCTGAAAATCGGTCATCTGAAGTTCTATTTTGGCTGGACCTGGGGGCTCACGCCTGTAATCCCAACACTTTGGGAGGCCGAGGTTTCGAGACCAGCCTGACCAACGTGGTGAAACCCTGTCTTTACTACAAATACAAAAAATTAGCCGGGCGTGTTCCCAGCTACTCGGAGGCTGAGGCAAGAGGATACCTTGAACTCAGGAGGTAGAGGTTGCAGTGAGCCTAGACTGCGCCACTGAACTCCAGCCTGGGTAACAGAGCAAGATTCAGTCTCCAAAAAACAACAATAAAGTTCCATTTTAAGAAGGTAAAAAAGGACACAAATTAAGCCCAAAGAAAAAAGAGGCAATGACAAAGTTTAACTTAGAGATAAGAGGCTGGGCGCGGTGGCTCACGCCTGTAATCCCAGCACTTTGGGAGACTGAGGCAGGCAGATCACAAGGTCAGGAGATGGAGACCATCCTGGCTAACATGGTGAAACCCCACCTCTACTAAAAAAAAAAAATACAAAAAAATTAGCCGGGCATGGTGGCAGGCACCTGTAGTCCCAGCTACTCGGGAGGCTGAGGCTGGAGAATGGCGTGAACCCGGGAGGCAGAGCTTGCAGTGAGCCTAGATCGCGCCACTGCACTCCAGCCTAAGTGACAGAGCCAGACTCCGTCTCAAAATAAATAAATAAATCAGAGATAAGAAATGTACAAAGAAAGCAACAAAGATTAACGGTGGTCTGCTGAACAGGCTAAAACAATAAGCCTTAGCAAGACTGATTAAGAAAAATTTTAAAAAGGCACAAATTATCTTCAGTAATGAAAAAAAGGAACATCATTACCCATTTCAGACAAAAGATAAA
Organism: Homo sapiens; assembly: GCF_000001405.40. Taxonomy (NCBI): domain Eukaryota; kingdom Metazoa; phylum Chordata; class Mammalia; order Primates; family Hominidae; genus Homo; species Homo sapiens. The sequence continues at coordinate 24,869,210 of NC_000002.12, forward strand.
AAGAAAATATTAAGAATATTATGCCAAAATTTTGAAAATTTGAATGGACATGTTTCTGGGGGAAAAAAACCTCTCTAAAACCTATATAAAAGGAAATATAAAATCTGAACAACCTTATTATCTATGACGGAAACAGAATCTTCCCCTAAAGAACACTCCAGGCCTATAGGACTTCTTCATTAGGGCCTTTTTTATTTTTATTTTTTTATTTTTAAAGCCAGGATCTCACTTTGTTGCCCAAGCTGGAGTGCAGTGGCACAATCATGGCTCACTGCAGCCTCAACCTCCTGGGCTCAAGCGATCCTCCCACCTCAGCCTCCCAAGTAGCTGGGACTACAGGCATGCACCACCACACTCAGCTAATTTTTTAATTTTTTGTAGAGATGGGGTCTCGCTTTGTTGCTCAGGCTGGTCTTGAACTCCTGGACCCAAGTGATCCTCCTGTCTCAATCTCCCAAAGTGCTGATATTACAGGCATAGCCACCTGCCTGGCCACACCTACAGGCCAGCCACATGCCTGGCTGTGACTTCCAAATTTAAGGAATAACCCAAATTATCTTCAAACTATCAGGGGTTAGAAACTTCTCAAATTATTTAATGAGTTGGGCATAACCGTAATACCAAAACCTGTCAAGCACATGGAAAGGAAGGAAAATGGCAGGCAGGTTTCTCTCTTGAACAGAGACAGAAGACGTAAGGAGAATGTAGGTAAATGGAAACTCACAGGGGGCAGGATTCCATCCTTCCCAATGGTAACAGTGCTTTACCAATCCCAGTGGGATTCACATAGATTCCTTCTTACCCTTAAAACAATCTCTCAGCAGGTCACGGTGGCTCATGCCTGTAACCCCAGCACTTTGGGAAGCCGAGGCGGGTGGATCACCTGAGGTCAGGAGTTTTGAGACCAGCCTGGCCAACATGGTGAAACCCCGTCTCCACTAAAAATATAAAAAAAAAAAAAATTAGCCAGGTGTGGTGGCAGGTGCTTGTAATCCCAGCTACTTGGGAAGCTGAGGCAGGAGAATCGCTTGAACCCGGGAGACGGAGGTTGCAGTGAGCCGAGATTGTGCCACTGCACTCTAGCCTGGGTGACAAGACCAAGACTCCATGTCAAAAAAAAAAAAAAAAAAAGAAAGAAAAAAAAATCTCTCAAAAGTTTTACATATGGGGATACTGAAGTCCAAAGAGGGGCAGCAACGAGCCCAAGGCCACACTCAGGACAGAGCCTGGCTAGACAAATTCATCCCACTTGGAGAATTCTAGGCTCCGGCTGTGTGCCCAGCTAGGCCTGAGGATGCACCTTACCCCTCAACTCCCCCCACACCTCTGCACCTCCCTTCCACCTAACCTGGACCTCTCCATCCTGGGGCCAATGTCTGCTCTGCCACTGCAGCGTGGGCAGGCAATGCAGAGAAGCACCACTGTGGCCCGGGCAGGCTGCTAGCACCCTCAGGAGCCCTGGGGCACCCAGGGATGACCCTCTCTGCTGGTGCCCAGGCTCCCTGCACTGACCCTGCCCAGAGGAAGCATATGGCCCTGGGTGTTAGAAAGCAGGCCTCATGGCCCCGTGCACTCGGCCTACCTCTAAAAAAGCTCTATGGGTTACAAAGCACTTCTGGGTTTCTCATTTGACCCTCAAGAAACCTACAAGACAAATGTCAATACCTCCACTTTGCAGATGAGGAAAAGTGAGGCTCTGTAGGGTGGATAACTTATCTAAATTATCTACACGAGAACAGCCCCAGGGTGAAACACAGGGCCTTCCTCATCACACCAGGGGGCCTCCACAAGACGGTTCAGTGTGAGTTAAGATGTCCTAGATTGTACAATATGAGACAGACAAGATCAATGCAGACAGACATGCTGAAAACTGCGCAAATGTTATATAAAAAGAATGCTCGCCTAGCTAGGCGGTGACACATGCATTTTTTTTTTTTAAGTGCAGAGAACCCAGAGGGATGCCTCCACAGTGCGAGATCAGATACAAACAAGAAATGAGACAGTATTAAAAAAAAACAGAGTTGAAGAATGCCTTTCAAGGGGCTTTACAAGCCAGGAAAGGAGGATTCTTTAAATATACACAGGCCACAGCAGCTCCTCAATAACCACAGGTCACAGGGCCCAGGGGAAGGGGCGAATACGATGGGCTACTAAGCCTGGACCTTTGTCACAATGGCAGCCAGGGAAAATCCCCTCCTATGGGGGCCTTCTGTAAGGAATGAGATTGGTAAACGGGGAGGAAGAAAACATCCCCAGGACAGTGGAATCGGAGGCCCATCAGCTAAATGACTTAGTGTGTGCCTCGGAACAGCACTGTCTAGAGAATGTGAGTGAGGCCCGACGGTGGGGCTCCTGCAAGCCAAGGGCTCCGGAGTGGCCCCCGAAACCAAGGCCCTGTCCACCCGAGTGGCAGCATCTATGAAAACAGCAATTTCAGTGAATCAGGAGCACACAGAACCTCCTGAACACAGATGACATGGTTCCCAGAGCAGAGAATCATAGTGTCAACCTATTGAGTTTGTTTTTGAAGGGGAAATAACCCTATGGATAACAGGAAATTGGTGGGTGTAATTTCTGGAGACCTTCAAAAAGCATGTGAGATTAATCCAGGCCAAAACTATGTACAAGCCTGAGTGACATGAGAACTGGGAGGATGGTGCGGCCATGGAAGAGACTGGAGGAAAGCCAGGAAACCGAGGCAGGGACAGCGAGGCCTCTCTCCAGATGGAGAATGTAAACAAGGGCATCCCCGGGGAACAGGCTGGTTTTCCTTCTTCAGCAGTGACCTCAGATGGGAAGGTAAGGGAGGGAGGAGCTCCCCTGAGTGGGGGTGTGAGGCTGACACACTTCACCCAGCAGGGCCCTGAGGCCGCAGGATGGGTCAAGGCCCCACCCACGGCATGAGCAGGTGCACAGGGTGGATCTGCGGTTGGACCAGCAAGAGTGGTGGTGGAGGCGTGACGTGAAGGAATGCCCGTGATGCCCCTGACCCTGACCTTGGTCCCGAGAAGGTCATCTGAGAAAGGAATGCAGGAAGTCATAGCTGGCTGCTTGGGCAATGCATTTCTTGAAAGGGAAAAGTTTTACATTACGAAAACAAAACAAAGAGCAGGAAGGCAGAAGAGGAGAGATCTGGGTCAAGCAGAAGCAGATTTAGGAGTGAGAGGCTCCCTGAAGCTCAGAAGCTGCCCTCTAATAGTGAGGAGCCCAGAAGACAAAGTTCAGAAGCAAACACCTGAACAGGGTGGATGAACGCCAAGCCCCACGGAGCCAGGGGCTGCCGCTCTGGTTCCTCTCCCTCTGACAAGGCCACAGTCCCTGAGCCCAAGCTCCAGGCCCGAGGCCTCCCGAGAGCCTCACCTGCTGCTGGCTCTGCTCTTCCAGGTTCATCTTCACCTCCAGCGACTGGCGGGCCTCCAGGAAGGCCTTGCGGTGCTTGCGGTCAGCCATGTAGTAGGACATGATGCCCACAGCGATGGCGCACAGGTAGAGGAAGACGTTGGCCAGGATCTGCACCCCAAGGAAGAAGAGAGAAAAGGCCAGGGGTGAAGGCACGTCTTCAGAAAAGGGGATGGAGAAGGGGATGGAGGAGGTGGGGTGGGTGGTGACCAAAATCAAACCTCAAGTTGCCCAATGTCCAGGGAGGGGCCCAGCACAGCCTTGGACCCCAGAGCCTCAGACACCACCACATGTACCACGGATGGGTGGTCCACCCAGGGGCATGGCTCAAGGCCTGAAAGGCTCAAGGGTTCCACGAGGGGCAGGGTGCAGGCGTTCAAGCCTGGCTGAGGGGCTGTGGATCCCCCCTCCGGCTTCCCAACAAAGCAAGGCTGGCCAGTCCCTCCACCTGTGACGCCTGAGCAGACCCTCTGCCACCCATTCATTCCTTCACGCATTTGCTCAAGCAGCACTCACTCAGGTGCTCTGCCAATTTGTTGGTAAGGAGGGTGCACAAATCCCAGGTCCCACTGAGCAGGACTGTGTAATCCTAAAAGCTCAGATGGCTTGGGATGCGGCAGGACCCCTGAAGAGGTCTCAGGCTGATTCGGCAGTCACAATGTTTACCTTACACATGTGTCATAGGTTTCTAGTTTTCTGGGATTCACAGGTATCCTCTCAGCTAACCCCACCTGCCAGCAGGTGAGGGGTGCCCAGTACCAATACTCAGGTCTCAAGCTATTGTGGGGGTGTCCTGGGACTTGAGGTCTCCCCCACTGCCTGCAAGGTCAGTACCCCGGCTCAAAGGGCTTCTGGGGCATCAAGTGCCTATTCCCCATCCCTGGCACCCTGAAGATGCCCCAGGTGTCCTGGCCCACTTCCACAGGCTGTAGGGACTGCAGATCTGATGGTCTCCTGCTGGGGTAACCTTGGATACAGATCTGAACATCCCAACCCTGCCTGGCGGCCAGGCCTGGCTGCTGCTACTCCAATCTTTGGCCATGCCTGGGCCCCAACATGGCTGGACCAAGTGCTAATCCTTCCTCCTCCTCCAAGACCACTGGCCTCAGTAAGCCTTTTCAAGCAAGGCCTCTTTCCTGGTCTGGCTCCTCCAGCTTCCCTGGCGCCAGCTCCATGCCCTTCCCCCGAGGCTGTGGCCACCCTCCCAGCCCTGGATCCCCGACGCCTCGCCTGCTAGGTGTGGTTTCTCGGAACCGAGTTTGGAGTTGAGAAATGAGATGGGAAGAGAAGCGGAAGAATTTCTCAATTTCTGGCCCTCAGGGGATAAAAGATTGGCCTCAGAGTAGACTGTATTCTGGGGTAGGTGAAAAAGGCAGGGAAGTCAATTTTTTATTTTTAAACAAGATGGTCTAACAGACAACAAGGGAAGCTGGTTCTCACATGAATTTTCTGGGTTCTCTTGGTTATGCCATATTCCCTGAACTGTGTTGTGTTTCATCAGAGCTGATCAACACTTGCCCTGAGGATCAACCACCACCACACCCGGCAGAATGTTCCTGCAGCCTCTGTGGCACTCAACAAGGGCCCGTTGCGTGACGAATCAGGAGGTCAGGCGAGTCTCAGTGCTGGTCAGCAAGTCACCGGGTGTAGATTCCCAAGCTCTGCTGGCGTCTGGTTCCAGCTTGTAATGACCTGTTGACCTCTTGGGTCTGAGCAGCCCCAGTCGCCTACCCCGTTTGTGGGGCAAGTCTGTTGGGGCAGGACAACCCACCCCTGTCTGAGTGGTCAGTACCATATGTCCTCAGGCCACCCAGTCAACACCTGAATGGCCAGCCTTATTGGGGCCAGAAGGGAACTGTGAGTGCAGGTTGGGAAGGGGAGGCCTCTGTGACTTGGGGGAGGCTCCGGGACTGGAGCCAGCCTAACTCTCTGGCCAACCTGGGAGCTGGCCACCTCTCCTTCCCTCCAGCCTCCTTCCCGGCTGGGCTTCTGTGGGCCAGGTCTTCTTCTGGCCTTGCTTTTCCCCTTGGAAGTGAGGCGGACAAAGACCAGACAGTGTCAGGGCTGGAGGGAGCTTTGAGGGGAGCTGATTCTCAGCTCACCGGTGAAACTGGAGCTCAGAGTAGTGGTTGGACCTGGAAAATTGCCCAGCCGGTGAGGGGCAGGATCAGAGTCCAGGGTTCCCCCCGAATTTATGTCCCCATATTGTATGTACCTACAAGTGCAGTGAAAAAGCAGATTTTATTTTTAAAAACTTGCAGATCAATGAAAGAAATACTGTCCTACATAGGAGGTCACCAGGCATGAGCCAAGCCTGACCCTGCTTCCAGCCTGGGGTCATAATCTTTGGTGATTGGTGTGAAGTTTTTCTGAGACAGTTGTTCTGGTGGGCTGCACAGCAGGTCTTAGGTAGACAACCGAGGGGGTAATGACAGTAACTCCTTGCACAAGCTCAGTGCTGTTCACTCGATAGAGCCTGTCCCATCTGTCCCTATGAGATGGCCAGGCAAGGTTGTCCATCCCTACCAGGGAACTCCCTCCCTGCCTGCCAGTGAGCTGATTCTAGAAAATTCTGTGAATGCCAGGTCTTGGGTTTCCTAAAGCACCCCCAATTCTCTCAACTTGCCTCAACTGAGGAGGAGGACCCCCTGGGGCGCTGCCCCCTGTTCCATCCCTATGGTCCCTCTCTCCCACAAAGTCGTGGCTACAAGGCCTGCAGGGAGCTTGGCAACCCCCAACCTCCCCCACCCCACCCCCCGTGGGTGTAGCTGATGGGAGGCTCAGCCACAACCCTACAGGCCAACTCACAGCCTCCAGGGCCAGGCCACAAATCCCACTGGGTGATGCTGCCAAGCCCAGAAAACCTCAAGGCAGAAGCAGGAGCCAGCTTTGAGAGAGATGATTCCAGAGTGAGCCGCAGGAGCTGCGCTTGTGGTGGGAGAGGCTCCCGACAGGGTCACCTGGGAAGGTGGCAGCACCCTGGGGTGCTCACGCAGCGACGGGAGGCGAGGGTGGCAGCAGTGCTCCCAGGCAACACTGACGTGCAGCCTGGGTGGGGAGTCCCCCTCCCGGCCTCAGTTTCCTCACCTGTATCCTCACCTCAGCATCACAACATTAAGTCCTAGACACAAGCACGCACTTTATCAGCCTCATCTCCTCTAACTTTACAACCAGTGCTGAGGCAGGTGATGTCACTCTGGTTTTACAGAAGGAATTGAGATTAAATTAAACAAGGTGTTAAAACTAGAGGGTGAGATCTCCTCCAGCATTCAAATCTCATTATTCTATGGTTCAAAACCCCTCCCTAAAGCACTCCTCAACTTATTTACATATTTCACAACCCCATCTTTTCCCAGAAAGGAGTGTGGACTTCTTTTTGGGAGGGGGGCGGTGGTGCAGATAGAGACAGGGTCTCACTCTGTTGCCCAGGCTGCACTGCAGTGGCACATTCAGGGCTCACCACAGCCTCAAACTCCTGAGCTCAAGCGAACCTCCCACCTCAGCCTCTTGAGTAGCTGGGATGACAGGTGCACATCACTTGTCCCAGCTAATTTTATTCTTTGTAGAGATGGGGTCTTGCTATATTGCCCAGGCTAGTCTTGAACTCCTGGGCTCAGGTGATCCTCCTGCCTCAGTTGCCCAAAACAATGGGACTACAGGCATGAGCCACCATACCTGGCCTAGAGATTTTTAAAACTGAAATTTAGATAGTCACGAAGATACTAGCCCTATAGCACTTAGGTGTGAGCTGCACGCATTTTAAATCTGAAACAATACTTGCAGATTTTCCACAGCCTCCATACACAGTGGTGGCCATTATCATTTCCACAGCTTCCATACACAGTGGTGGCCATTATCTCTAAGCTAATAAGATTCAGAAATTTCCTGTTTCATATTCATAAATGTGTATCTCACTTAGCAAAATGAATGTGCCCCTCAAAATATGTCTGTAAAAAGTAAGTTTCACTCTTTCAGCATGAGCAGGGCCCTGAGCTGGCCCTAGGAGGGACGGTGGCGTGACATCGTCCCTGTCCCCAGGGCCAGGCAGGTGTGGCCGCAGGAAGAACTTGATGCTGGGTAAGCAGGGCAGCTGCCGTTCCTCTAAAATGCATCCATCAGGATCGCCTCTCATTACAGGTGAAGAACTGAAGACCCAGGAAAAAATTCTGCCTCTGGGGAAAACTTGAACCCTAGCGAGAATCTGAAATAGGTCTTTCACGTCACCATGACACATGGGTTTCTCTGCACCAGGCCTTGAGCTCTGCTGATCTGGGATTAATTTTCCGGTGTTCCCACTCCAAGGTACGAGTGAGAAGTGACCTTCCTTTTTAGAACTCTTCTCCCTCCAGGGTGGCCCTTCCCCACACCCACCACTTTGCAAACCCCTCATCCCATTCTACCCAACCTGGCCCACTTGGCAGGCTCCTGTCCACCTGGGAGCCCTGCAGAGACCTCCCATCTGCTCCATCACTTGTACTGCTGCACCCAAGGCAGCCCCTCCTCCTCCCCCATGTCCCCCACACATGGCCCTGCCACTGTGTGCGGGAAGGTGGGCACTGTCCTCACATCTGTGTCCTCAGCCCATCCTGGCCCCATCCAGCCCTAGGTGCCCAGGAAGCCTCACGCTGTTGGGTGGCACAGATGTGGGTTACGACTCTACACTCACAGACTCACCACCCACCCCTCCCCCCTTCAGCCTCTGGTCAGCAGGCGAGCTGAGCAGAAGCCATCAGTAAACATGACCTTCTGGCCCTAGATCCTTCCTGGGACCCAGCTTTGCTGCTTCTAGCCTTCCAGTGAGCATCCCCTACCTACCCCAGTCCACCCCCGCCTGAAGAACAAAGAGGAACAAGGCTCGGTCGCTCCCCTGAGGACAGCGGACAGGGTACATTTTGGGAGTGATCTAGAACATCAGACAGAGCAGACCAACAGGCAGGAGGAGAGGTGTGAACAGTTGGGGAGATCACATCCAATCAGGGTGATGCTGAGGATGGCTTCACGAAGACGTGAGCATTAAAGAAAGATGGGGGTCTCTCTGAAACACGAAGACGAGCTCAGACACCACACTGGGTGAGTGGCACACAGGAGACTCCTCCCTCTCTGGAATCATGAAGAGCAACTTATTCCCAGGGCTCCCGCTCAAAGTGTTCTGCACACACACAGGCACCATCTGACCACCAGACAGAGAGGGAAGAGGCTCCTTGGCCTGGGGCGAGACAGCTGGCGCTCGAAGCCTTACTTCTGGGCCCAAGGGCAACAGCTGTACCTGGGAGCTGACTGCACTGCCCAGTCCCGGGTCCTGGGGTGACTCACCAAACCCATGAGGTTGAGAAGCCTGCTCTGGACACCACCAAAGTCACCTCTTCTTGCCCCGTGGTCCCCTTTAGACTGCACAGCACGATCAGGCTCTGTGGTGACAGAGGTCCACAGCCCCTGGGGTCTCTATTTATAGATCTTTTTACAAGTTTCTTAATCCTAAAGTTTTCCTGGAAATAACTTATTTCAAAAGAATTGTTCTGCTTTTTTAAAATATACAACATTTTTAGAATAATAAAATGCATCTCCCAAATGGATAAACACTTGGACTAAAGTGTCATCTAACCCATGACAGCCTGATAAAGTGTTTCTAATATCCCGGCTCAGAACGCAACCATGAGAACATTCCTTTACAAAATCCTCCCTCCTGGAAGTTTACGCATCGCAAGATCCTTCACGTTTGCTAACAACCCGTAGGGAAATGGGGCTGCTCTAAGTGGGACTGTCGAGTGGAAGTCACCCCACTGGAGGCGGTTTGGTGGCTCTCTTGCCCAAACCAATCTCTTCCTATAAGCTCATTCCAGCCTGAAGGTTCCAGAACACTCTGGAACTGTGGAGAAGAAGCTGAGCAAGAGAAAGCTGCTCAGGGTGCAGTGTCCGTGTCGCCCACAGAGACCTATGACGTTCTGCGGCTGGAGGCCAGCCGCACGGGAAACTCGTCATTAAAACTTACTCAGATGCTTTAGGAAAAAGTCTCCTAGCAGCCATGGGGCAGGAAGGAGGAGGGGAGGTGGCCCCTCCAAAGGCAACCAGCCTTCTCCCACCCAAGGAGGCCCAGCCAGAGCCTGTGAGGCCGCCACTCAGCACAGATGGGTCCCACTTCTGGGGCCACTCTCGCTGCAGACGCCTGTAGAGGCTGCTGCAGTGGCTCCTTAAGTCCCTATGAAATGTCCCTACCCCTCAGAGGCCTTCCCTGCCCACCCCTACTCATTCTCCAGTCCTGCTTTGAGGCCCAGCACAGAATGTTCTGCACTTGCCCTTCTCTGTCCTCACTCCTTCGCCTCGTCGCCTGGAAAGCAAACTCCATGCAGCCGGGACACGGGTTGTTTCCCTGCTGGCTCCCCAGCACCCGGGACTGGCACATAGAAAGCCATAGGCAACAACTGGCAGATGGAGGGGCGGGAAGAGGTCAGGCCTCGCAGTCACATAGACCTGCACACGGCTGCCCGCAGGCTGTGTGCCCTGGAGCAAGTCGCCTGCCTCTCTGACATGGCTCCTCACCCTTGCAGTAACCCCACAGGCTGTTCCAGTAAGACTGAAAGACTGGGCCGGGCGCGGTGGCTCATGCCTGTAATCCCAGCACTTTGGGAGGCCGATGTGGGCAGATCACAAGGTCAGGAAATCGAGACCATCCTGGCTAACATGGTGAAATCCCGTCTCTACTAAAAAAAAATGCAAAAAGTTAGCCAGGCGTGGTGGGCAGGAGGCTGAGGCAGGAGAACGGCATGAACCCGGGAGGCGGAGCTTGCAGTGAGCCGAGATTGCGCCACTGCACTGCAGCCTGGGCGACAGAGCGAGACTCTGTCTCAAAAAAAAAAAAAAAAAAAAAAAAGACTGAAAGACTGCACATACCTCACACAGGGCTTGGCACAAAATACCCCTTTCATGACTTTTTCTTTGCTTCCATTGAAGGCAAATTAGTAACTAATAATAACACTTTGAGGACGTTTTACAAGAATCTTCATGTTCATCATTCTATTTGTTTCTCACAACAAGAGGAGGCAGGGCAGAGTTTTCTTATTCTCATTTTGCAAGAGACTTAAAGTCAGAGAAATAAGCTTCCGAGCCCCTAGTCTCCCAGCAGCGCTGAGACCGGAACCCAGACCCCCTTACCCCGGGGCCAGGGCTCCCCTCCCTCAATACGATCACCTTAGCTGAACTGTGATGGGTGTCTGCCAAGGCGGGGCTACAGCCGCGGCACAGGGGGCTCCCCAAGAGCTAAGGATCCAGTTAGGACCTGGAACATCTGGGCAGGTGGGAAGGAGGAGTCATAAGGTCTGCAGACAGTGAGTGACTCTCCCATGCTGCCTTGGGCAAATTCTAAGCATCGCTGCACCAAGAGAGACTCTGAGATCTCCAATAAATGCAACCTTAATCAATACAACACGAGGCTCAAGCCTGGGGTGCTGCTGCCATGCCCTTCCGAGCTGGGTATCTGCCAAGTTTCCACCATGTGCCTCAAAACAAAGGGGCCTCCAGAAGCTTTCTGCTTATAACTTGTGCATGCCTTTGGTAAGAGATGTTCAAAGTCTACCCTCTTCCAAAACAAAGAGGACTTCCAGAATAGGCATCCAGCCCATCTGACATGTTAGGCCAGGTCCCTCATGATCTGCCAGGCAGCTAGAGCAGCTTCTCAGGTTGCGCACTGCCAGGGGTGCCACTACACAGATCTGTCGTGATGGCTTCCCCAGACACGGAACATGGCGGCCTTGGCCCCAGGCTCTACTGTCTTGACTCTGGTTGCTCCTCAACAGGCTCCCCTCCCTCCAATCACAATGGGCCTCTCTCCAGTCCTCCCTATAAGATGTGCTATTTCAGGGATCCAAGGCTCCAACCAAAACAGCCTGCCTCTGCTGCCTGTGGAGGTCCACATGTTATGACGAGTCTGTGACCTTACCCTTGTCAAGCTCTTAGCAGAAATAATATTTCAAATGTAAGCATATCAGAGCTCAAAAGAGAATAAAAGTGGTAGAAAGTGACTAGGTAGCTGCTTTAGATGAGGTCTGAGGAAGACAGCTGGCCCTAGTTCTTCACTCCCCCGCAAAAGCATCACACAGCCACATCCTTGCAGAGTATAAAGTCTCCTTCCAGCTGGGCATGGTGGCTCACGCCTGTAATCTCAGCACTTTGGGAGGCCAAGGCGGGTGGATCACCTGAGGTCAGGAGTTCGAGACCAGCCTGGCCAATGTGGCGAAACTCATCTCTACTAAAAGTACAAAAATTAGCTGGGTGTTGTGGCAGGCACCTGTAATCCCAGCTATTCGGGAGGCTGAGGCAGGAGAATCGCTTGAACCCGGGAGGCGGAGGTTGCAGTGAGCCAAGATAGCACCACTGCACTCCAGCCTGGGCAATAGAGTGAGACTCCACCTCAAAAAAAAAAAAAAAGTCTCCTTCCTTCCTGCTGGCTTTGACCACGTGATTTGCTTTGGCCAAAAAGACTTCAGCATCTATAAAAGCAGCACATTCTGAAATGCCCATGAGGGCTGGCTTTTTGTTTTGTGCTTCTCCCGTCACCAGAACACCACACACTAAGAACCTCACTGGTACAACAGAACAATAAACTGATACAGCAGAACTGATCCCAAGCTGCAGCTTAGAGCCAAAGCCATCCCAGCCCAGATCAGCCCCACCCCAGCCAACCCACAGATGTGCAAGTGAGGAATGCCTGGCATGAGCCACCGAGTTCTGGGCTGTTATGCAGCATTAGGTGAAAACAGCTGGCACCGACGTTAGGACAGGTCTCTCGGAAGCAGTGTCATTTCAACTGAGAAGTGAATGCCAAGCAAGATCCAGCCACGGGAGAGGCCAGAAGGATGGGCATTCTGGGTGGAGAAGACACTAGCAGTGCAAAGGAGACCCCCCTACAGCATGAGGCACAGCCTTCCCTCAGTGCAGCTCCTGATGCGTCTGTGTGTATCTCCCAAGAGGATGCAGTAAGTACCTGAGATCATGGGTGTCACTTACATTTGTAGCCCCAGGGCCTTGCACAGCTATTGGAACATAGCAAACGTGAGCTGTGTGAACAGCTACAGTGGTAAAAAGAAGCTGAAAGAACAGTTCATTCTCCACTGAAGTGTTCCCCCTTGATAAGAGAGCCAAAATGAAGATAAACAGAGAAGTGGTTCTCAACCACAGGTGATCAGCCCACCACCGAGGCCATTCCACAGTGTGTCTGGAGACGTTTTGACAGTCACGACTAGGAGAGCGGGTGCTACTGGCCTCTAGTGGGCGGAGGCCAGGGATGCTGCTGAACATCCTACACTGCACAGGGCAGCCCCCACCACAAAGAACCATCCAGCCCCAAATGTCAACGGAGCCAACGTCAAGAAACCCTGGCCTGGAACAACGCCTTCTTCCTTTTTGATTCCTGAGTGTTCACAATGAACTTTTTCTTGACCTTTTCTACCAGAGAATAATGAACTCTGAAGCAATGGTGTGAACAAGTAGATTTATTTTTATGTCAATTGTAGAGTTTGTGGGCTAAGAGGAGAATGCTCCTGATACTTACTGAACATAAAGACACAACAGCCTGATCAATGCACCCACCCAGAAGGCCCACGTTTCAGGGGTGTAGATGGTCAAAACCAGAGAAGGCCATCTGGTCAACCTCCCCATTTCCATGCAAGAATGGACAGCTCAAATGTAGCATCTTATCCTAACCCAGGGATTACTCACTTGGACTAGGCTTTGGAGGAGTTGGTGAGCCCTTAAAGTAGGGCAGAAATCACACTTGGCCCGTCTCTGGGAAGCAAGTCCATTGCTCTTGTCAGATTCTCCTAAGGATCTGTTACTCCAGATGACTGAGAACCACAAAACTCCTCAAAAGCTCCCACTGCTCTTGCTGCTTCACTAGACACACAAACATCTGCTCACAGCATTTCCTGTCTTCTCTTATTGATGTGACCTCATTATTTAGTCACCTTGGTCTCTTTCTCTAGGCCAAATAATTCCAATTCTATTTAAAGAAGTCCGTTTTAAAGCCGAATCATGTTTGGTCTCATGTCTTTTTACAAAGTGGTCAGTTCAACTCTATTGAATACTCTGGTGAGTGGCGGACCCCATACTGGGCCCTGGAGATTATAAAATTACCTCAAGGAGCTGACTCTACTGGCAGTAAAGAAGCTAGCAGTGGCCGGGCACCGTGGCTCATGCCTGTAATTCCAGCACTTTGGGAGGCCGAGGCGGGTGGATCGCCTGAGGTCAGGAGTTCGAGACCAGCCTGGGCAACTTGGTGAAACCCCGTCTCTACTAAAAATACAAAAATTAGCTGGGTATATGGTGGCACATGCCTGTAGTCCCAAGTTATTTGGGAGGCTGAGGCACAAGAACTGCTTGAGCCCGGGAGGCAGAGGTTGCAGTGAGCCGAGATCACACCACTGCACTCCAGCCTGGATGATGGAGTGAGACCCTGTCTCAAAAAAAGGGCCAGGCGCGGTGGCTCAAGCCTGTAATCCCAACACTTTGGGAGGCAGAGGCGGGCAGATCACGAGGTCAGGAGTTCAAGACTAGCCTGGCCAATATAGTGAAACCCCGTCTCTACTAAAAATATAAAAATTAGCTGGGCATGGTGGCGGGCACCTGTAGTCCCAGCTACTTGGGAAGCTGAGGCAGAAGAATCGCTTGAACCCGGGAGTCGGAGGTTGCAGTGAGCTGAGATCTCACCACTGCCCTCCAGCCTGGGCGACACAGAGAGACTCTGTCTCAAAAAAAATAAAAAAAAGAAGCTAGCAGTGAACAGAGGATGTGCAGCTCGATTCTGAGGGAGAGGGGAGAAGTCAGCAAAGGCCCCCATGAGGAAGGAAAGCTTGGGCTGGCCACACTCAGTTGGAGTTTTCACATGTTCTGAAAACACAGAGCTTTCACATATATTTAAGCATATAGATTCTGGACGATAAAGAAAATTGAAACCAATTTCTAACTGACGGCCAATACTAAGTGAGGCAGGAATGAAAGGGCTCCATGCTTTTGCTCATGCTTTCTTACCTATAAGCAACACTGGGTACATTTATCACACAGATCACCTGACTTTCTGAAACTAACTTTAGATGAACTTGAAAGCAAATGTACCAGCTCGGAGGAAGACAAGTGTATAATCTGGAGACAGAAGATATTTAGGAATCCAGATAGATCATCACACAAACTTAAAATGTAAAAACTTGAAGGGAACAGATCACTGATGACACAGAAACACCAAGCCCTTATTCTCTTGTGTTTGTGGCCATGGAACACAGCAAACTCTTTGGATTCCAAAACTTCCTACCTTTCAATTCAGAAAATGACATTTTGAGAGTAAAACTTTTTGCACACCGTCTGCAACAAAAACCCACATCATCTGCTCTCCTGAATCACAGCTTTCTCCTGGGGATTTGATACATCTTTTTTCTCCCCTTTAGTCCTTCTAGGGGTTTCTCAGCAATTCCCTCTTCCCTACAGCCTCTCACAGCCTTCCCAGGGACATTCAGCATTTTTTTTTTCCAGTCACTGGTTCTGATGCAACCCTTCTGGCGTTGTTCCTGAGTTGCTGTTTTTCCAGTTCAGTGTTTCTGGGCCAGGTGCACCAGCGTCCCAAAGGGAGCTGGTTAAAATGGGAGATTCCAGGGTCCTAGCCCACAGAATCCCCGGCATCTGCATCTGTGCCCTCCTCCAGGTGATTCTCTTCTACAGAATCACTGTTCAAGGTGGAGTAGTAGATATGAAAACAAGGCAAAGAGCTTCCAGCCTTCCTGGGTCTTTAAACCAAACTCTCATGCTGCTGCCTTAGGCCATCTTCCTATGCCTATCCCCTATTTTTCTTCTATGCATTTATTGTCTTTATTTTCTAATAATCTTTTTTTTTTTTTTTTTTTTTTGAGACGGAGTCTCACTCTGTCACCCAGGCTGAAGTGCAGTGGTGCAATCTCAGCTCACTGCAACCTCCGCCTCCCAGGTTCAAGCGATTCTTCTGCCTCAGCCTCCCGAGTATCTGGGATTTACAGGTGCCCGCCACCACGCCCGGCTAATTTTTGTATTTTTAGTAGAGACAGGGTTTTGCCACGTTGGCCTGGCTGGTCTTGAACTCCTGACCTCAAGTGATCTGCCCGCCTTGGCCTCCCAAAGTGCTGGGATTACAGGTGTGAGCCACAGCGCCCAGCCCTCATTTTCTAACAGTCTTCTGATCCCTGGTTCACCCTCACCCTGAGTTAGGTACCCTTTTACCATCTTTTTTCCCTTCTGACCAGCATGTCTCCCACACATTCAAAGCTCCACCCACGGCGGTGCTTTCCACCTGTTGATGCTGCTTCATGTCTCCTGCGTTTAATTCAGTTCCCTGGTTTTCAATTCAGATTTAAAGTCCTTTCCAATTTTCCTTCTTCTTGTCCTGAGAGACTCTGGTCTGGAAGGACCATGGCAGGTCATGGACCAGGCCTCTCAATGCACTCTCTTAGTCACATGACAGAGACTTCCAAATTCCAAAATTCAAGTTCAAGGCCCTGGTGAACTATCACCTCTCCTAAATTCCAGTTCCTCAGCCTCCACTGTCTTGATGAGCACCACCTGCAGGTGCTCACTTCACCCTCACTCAGCAGATCCCAACTTTGGCTGTGCCTTAGAATCACCTGGGGAGTTATGCCCAGGCAGAGTCCACAAAAGTGGAACCAGAGGCCCAGACACTGGTATTGCTGAAAAGTTTCCAGGAGACCTTATGGCGGGACCAGGAGTGGAAAACGCTAAAGTCAATGTGAACACCCAAGCTTGTCATGGTCTCCCCTAACCAGCCCTGATCCACAGGTCTCACTTCTGCCAACACTACGCCCCAGCTAGGAACACAGCACCCAACACGGCGCAGGTCCTCAGTAACATTGGCTGAACGCCTGAACCAGCGCCAGCCTGCTCTCTCTCACTGAGCTCCTTTCTGTGCCTCCAGCAGGTCCTTCATCCCAGCTGGTCTTTCCAGGTAAAAGCCTCTGGGTCTCCTTTTTCCTCACTCTTGCTGCCACCACCTGGCTCACACCCTTACTTCCCACAGGGCTGGGGACAGACTCATCTCCCTGGTCCTGCCAATCCACCCTGGAACACATTAATCTTCCAAAATAATATTTTTGCAAGTACCACCTTCTGCTCAAAACACCTCAATAGCTGCCAATTGTCCAAGAGTTCAAAATCTTCATTCTGGCATTCAGGGTCCTATATACTCTGGGCTTTACCATGAACTTGAATCTAAACCCCGCCCCCACAGCTGCCTGAGGTAAACCATCTGCTTTAGCCAAGCTGACGTCCTCAGCATGTCACCAACTGGCCTCCTGACCTCGGCACATGCTGTAGCCCCTATTTTGAGAGCTCTTAAACTTCCCCACGAAAGTGCCTGGGGAGGAAGCTTCTCATTTTACTTGCTAATATATGTGGATTCTGCATTCTGTTCAATAAAATCCATGTTTGTATTTGTATTTTTAAGTGTTTAAAAATATTTGCCAAACAGATGTCTCCACCTGTTTCAGTGTAAGTGCCACTAGGGCAGGGACGACATCTGTCCCAGTCCCCACTGTGTTCCCAGCACTCAGTAGCACCCAGCACGCTGTCTGCTGGGTGAAGGAATGAATACATGGAGGACACAGGATGAAAGGAAATGCCAACTCCACGGTCATCCTGTGGCTTCACATGCGCCAAAGCAAACACAACCCTGCACCCCCAATGTGGGAAGCACGCACTTAGAATGCCCCTCCCCACCTGGCCGCCTTCCGCCTCCCCCTCGAAATCTAGCTGAACCCCGCCTCCTCCATCGAGCCCACCTGAGCCTCCTTGCGCTACATCATGTTTAGCAAACACGCCTCACCTCCACCCGGACCTTGCAAAGGGCCAGGTGGGAAGATAAACCTCCCTAAGATCTTCCCACAAGACCTGGGCACAGAACCCAGTCACCTCACTCTGCCCTCCTGCTTCGCCTTGACACAGAAACTCTGAAGCTCAGGGTCATGACAACCAGGAATGAAGGGAGAAGACCCCCGCCCCGAGATGGGTGTGAGCTGCGCTGCCAGGCCAGTTCTCGCCACTCATCATCCAGCTCCCAGCAGCGCAAAAGCTCTACTCTCCTTAGAAACTGGAGCTGGTTCCGGGCGATGCCCACGGACTCACTGCTCTCACTCACTCGGATGAGCCTGCCCTGGGGAGGGGAAGGGGGAAGCCCAGCTGGCAAGGAGGCTGCCATGTGCCCTGAGTGGGTGAGGTTAGCTGCTGCACAAGGCAAGCCGGTCCCTGGGGCTCTGCTAGGCAGATGCTGGGCCTGGCTGGCACAAAGGGGTGCAAATCACCAACTCGACAGTCCCCCACAAGTGACACCCCGTGGCTCACTCTTGGTCTTAACTTCTCCCTAGCAGCCCCAGCTTTCTTCCTGTATTAGTCCGTTTTTGTACTGCTATAAATAACTGCCTGTGACCGGGCAATTTATAAAGGAAAGAGGTTTAACTGACTCACAGTTCAGCATGGCTGGGAAGGCCTCAGGAAATTTACAATCATGGCGAAAGGGTCACAAAACACCTCCTTCACAAAGCAGCAGGAAGACGTGCCGAGCGAAAGGGGAAGAGCCCTTTATAATACCATCGGATCTTGTGAGAACTCACTCACTATCACGAGAACAGCATGGGGGAAACCACCCCATGATTCAACTACCTCCACCTGGTCTCTCCCTTGACACGTAGGGATGATGGAGATTACAATTCAAGATGAGATTTGGGTGGGGACGCAAAGCCTAACCGTATCACTTACTCTCTCTAGCCTTCCACCTGCGAGCTCCACGGCTCCTTTCCCTCGGAGACCAGGCCAGCCACTGCACCTGGGGGGATTTTCACAGCCTGGGAACACTCGGGGCTGCCAAGAGGTCGAAAACCAGGCCAAGTCCCGAGGGGTTCACCGGCATCATGCAGCGATAGCCGTGATGGCTCCTGAGGGTGCCTGGTTCCCCCGGCATCTGGCTCTGTGGGCCCCCATGACCACGTGTCCCAGCCCACTCCCCCCCGACACACACACCTCCTCTCGGTGAGGCCAACACTCGGGGCAGGAAAGCATGGCGGTGAAGAATGCAGCTCCAAACTCAGGCTGGAGTGGAATTTCATCTCCATCATGGGCCTGGGCCTTGGAAGTTGCCACACTTTAAACTCGCTGCCTCCCCTGCGAAATGCAAATAACCACAGGCCCATCTCAGGGTGGGTTGGAGACTCCTCTATGATGTGTGTAAAGAGCCCAGCATCAGACTGTGCCAGATACACAATACATCTAAGTGTTACCTATTATTGTTAGGCATATTATAAATTCCCAAGGTTACTCCTGAATTTATTCCCAATTCTCCAGCTTTCTGAGTCTGCTTGAGTGAGTCAAGGTCATTTTCATCACCTGGGAAGGCAATGTGTGTCAATGGTCCCCAAATTTGGCTGTGCTGACATTCTAAGGCTCCATCCTCAAACACTGCCTTGTACACAGTAGGTCCTCTGTATCCACAGATTCAACAAAACTCAAATTTCATCACAAACATTCAAACACATTCGGAACATCAAAAACATTCAAACCACAACAGCTCTCAAGTAAGTTCCCATCCCCTGGTCCTCCCCCATTGCCTGTCCAGCCTCTGAGGTGGAATGCTGCCTGTGTCACTGTGCACTGGCTGGGTTTTGGGCCCTGCAGTGTAGCTGCACATCCTGGCCCCAGGACCCTGCCACCCAGCTGGACGGCTCAGCTCCTGTCCCATCCCTTTCCACGTCTCATTATCGGGAAGACCCTCATGGCAGTGCCAGCAGCTGCTAGAGCCACCTGCCGGTGCTGAACTGACCGACTACCTCCCAGCCCACAGTGGCTGCCTGTGTCTGGGGACACCAATTAACCTTCACACCATTAGTCAACAAGTCCTCCTCCAGCCCCTACAACAGGAGGGAGTGTGATGCCGTGGAATAAGCACTGTCTTTGGAGCCAAACTGGCTTGTGTTCTATCACTCCTTAGAAAGTCCCTTAAAACCTCCCTCTGCAACCTTCTCACATGGAAAATTGCCTCACATGGCAATTAGTATTTCTTGGCTCATATGTATATATGTATTTTATTTTACCAAAATGGTGGAAAGGGCCTGGTGTGGTGGCTCAGGCCTGTAATCCCAGTACTTTGGGAGGTCAAGGTGGGTAGATCACCTGAGGTGAAGAGTTTGAGATCAGCCTGACCAATATGGTGAGACCCCGTCTCTACTGAAAATACAAAAATTAGCCGGGCATAGTGGCATGTGCCTGTAGTCCCAGCTACTCGGGAGGCTGAGGCAGGAGAATTGCTTGAACCCGGGAGGCAGAGGTTGCAGTGAGCTGAGGTCACACCACTGCACTCTAGCATGGGCGACAGAGCGAGACTCTGTCTCAAAAACAAAAACAGTGGAAAGGCTGCAGAAAACTCAACTGTTTTTATTTCATTTATTGATACACGCACCTTCTGCTAACACTATCTTCAGCTTATAATGCGTGAGGAAGGAATGAAAGCTATTAGGGTGTGTCCTACCTTCCCTTTTATTTCTGTGTCATTAATTTCAGCATTAAATGGTTGGCCAATACAGGGAAGCAGCATGGGATGTTCATGTTTCTGAGAATGTCACTGCCTTCTTTCTGTATTTGAAGCAAGTTCTAGTTTGAACAGAAAGCACAAAATCTCAGAGCTGTCAGTACCTCTACTTACTCAGCTGTGGATGCGACATGTTATTTTGCGCTTGTTTTGCATCTTGCTCAACTCCCAGACATTGTGAATTCACCAGAACTCCATGTTGCCGGGGCATCACACACAAATATGCAAATGACACAAAAACATATGGCAGGTACTCATCTTGTATGTATTTCTTCAGTACATATGCATGTTCCATTGTCTCAGCAGGCTTCAGCTGCAAAACATAAGTTCAAAAATAAAACTGTTGGCTGGGCACAGTGGCTCACGCCTGTAATCCTGCCCAGCACTTTGGGAGGCTGAGGCGAGTGGGCCACTTGAGGTCAGGAGTTTGAGACCAGCCTGGCCAACGTGGTGAAATCCCATCTCTAATAAAAATACAAAATTGGCCAGGCGTGATGGCACATGCCTGTAATCCCAGCTACTTGGGAGGCTGAGGCAGGAGAATCGCTTGAACCCGGGAGGCGGAGGTTGCAGTGAGCCAAGGTCGCGCCATTGCACTCCAGCCTGGGCAGCAAGAGCGAAACTCCGTCTCAAATAAATAAATGAATAAATAAAATTGTTAAGAATTTCCAGACTGCACAAGTCATGTGCTCATAAAGCCAACCTTGGTTAAAAAGAGAACATTCAGACTTTCTCTATTAAATATGATGTAGGTTTTGCAAAGATGCCTTTTCTCAGGTTGAAGAAATTATCTTCTTTTCCTAGTTTGCTGAGAGGTATTATCTGAATGGATGCTGAATTTTGTCAAATGCTTTTTTCTGCATTTGACAAAATTGAGATGATCTTATGGGTTTTCCTTTTCAGTAGGCTAATGTTAAACTGCACCAATTTTAAGATGTTAAAACCACCCTGCATTCCTGTGCAAATCCCTACTTGGTCATTATATATTATTCTTTTTATATATTTCCAGGTTTTCTTTGCTAATATTCTGTTAAAGATTTTTGCTTACATGTGCATGAGGGATATTCATCTGGAGTTTTTGTTTTGTAACGTCTTTGTCTGGTTTTGATATCAGGGCAATATTGAATTCATAAAATAAGTTGGGAAATGTTCCCTCCTCTTCTACTTTCTGATAAAATTTATGTGGAATTGGTATTATTTCATTTTTAAATGTCTGATGAAATTCAGCACTGAAACCATCTGAGGCTGGGGTTTCCTTTGTGGAAGGTTTTAAACCAAAATTCAATTTCTACAATGGATATGGGGCTATTCAACATTGATAGTTTGTGCCTCTCAAGTAATTTGTCCAATTTGTCTAAGTCGTTCAATGTATTGGCACAGAGTTGTTTATGACATCATCTTATGACTCTCTGAGTGTCTGTATGATCTGTATTCATGCTCACCTGCATCCCGGTACTGGTCATTTGTGTCCTCCCTCATTTTCCCAATCATCTAGCTAGAGGATTATCTATTTTACTGACCTTTTCAAATAACCAGCTTTGGAGTCACTGATTTGTAATGTTTTCCCACTAATTTTTTTTTCTGCTTCTTTCTCTGGATCTAGTTTTTCTACTTCAATCTAAAGGTTTAAGCTTCTAAGGTAGAAGCTTCCATCACAGACTTTAGACCTTTCTTCTTTTTTTTTTGAGATAGAGTCTGCTCTGTCCTCCAGGCTGGAGCGCAGTGGCACGATCTCGGCTCACTGCAACCTCCACCTCCCAGGTTCAAGCAATTCTCATGCCTCAGCCTCCCAAGTAAGTGGGATTACAGGCATGCCACCACACCCAGCAATTTTTTCATATTTTAGTAGAGATGGGGTTTCGCCATGTTGGCCAGGCTGGTCTCGAACTCCTGACCTCAAGGATGCACCTGCCTTGGCCTCCCAAAGTGCTGGGATTACAGGCATGAGCCACTGCGCCCGGCCTAGACCTTTCTTCTTTATTAATACAGTAGTCTCCCTTATCTGTGGCTTCACTTTTTGCATTTTCAGCTACCCAAGGTCAATCACAGTCCAAAAATATTAAATGAAAAATTTAAGAAATAAATAATTCATAAGTTTTAAATTGAGTAGTGTGATGAACTCTAGTACAATTTTGCTCTGTCCCACTAGAGATGTGAGTCAGCCCTTTGTCCAACATATCCCCACTATCCATGCTACCCACCTGTGAGTCACTTGGTAGCTGTCTCGGTTATGAGATTGACTGACAAGGTACTGCAGTGCTTCTGTTCAAGTAGCCCTTATTTTACTTTATAATGGCACCAAAGTATAAAAGTAGTGATGCTAGCAATTCAGATATGCCAAAGAGAAGCCATAAAGCGTTTCCTTTAAGTGAAAAGAAAAAATTTCTCAACCAAAGGAAAGATCATACGTTGAGGTGGCGAAGATCTAGGGTAAGAGCAAATCTTCTATATGTGAACTTGTGAAAAGGGAAAGATAAATTTGTGTGAGTTTTGCTGTTGCACTTCAGACTGCAAAAGTAACAGCTACAGTGCATAGTAAAGGGCTTAAAGATGAAAAAGGTATTAAGTTTGTGGGTGGAAGACACAAACAGAAAATGTGTACCAACTGTTATAACTGTTCTATTTTATTATCAGTTGTTGTTCATCTCTTACTGTGCCTAATTTATAAGTTAAACTTTATCATAGATACGTATATATAGGAAAAATATGGTATATATAGGGTTCAGAACTACTGACAGTTTTAGGCATCCACTGGGGATCCTGGAACAGCCCCCACGAATAAGGGGGAACTACTGTATAAGCATTTAATGCTACAAATTATCCTCAAAGCACTGCTTTGTCTGCGTCTGCTAATTTCAGCATGTTGTTTTCATTTTCATTTAATTCAATATGTTTTCTAAGATCTCTTGTGATTTTTTTCCTTCCTTTAGGCATGTGTTTCCAAATATTTTGGGATTTTTAAAGATATAGTCTGTTACTTCTACTTCCATCCATTTTTGTCAGAGAATATACTTTATATGAGTTCAATCTTTTAAAGTGTATTGAGTCTTTTTTTTTTTTTGAGATGGAGTCTGGCTCTGTCACCCAGGCTGGAGTGCAGTGGCGCGATCTCGGCTCACTGCAAGCTCTGCCTCCTGGGTTCACGCCATTCTCCTGCCTCAGCCTCCCAAGTAGCTGGGATTACAGGCGCTTGCCACCAAGTGGGCCCGGCTAATTTTTTGTATTTTAGTAGAGACAGGGTTTCACTGTGTTAGCCAGGATGGTCTCGATCTCCTGACCTCGTGATCCACCCGCCTCGGCCTCCCAAAGTGCTGGGATTATAGGCGTGAGCCACCACTCCCAGCCAAAGTGTATTGAGTCTTGTTTTGTAACAGGTTGTGTGTCTTTGAGAACATTTCAGTGCACTTGAAAAGAATGTATGTTCTCTAGTTCTTGGGTGCAGGGTTCTATAAATATTCCTTTGGTACAGCTTTGTCATTAGGTGCATACATATTTAGAATTATGATGTCTTTTGATGAATTGATTCCTCTGTCATTATGAAATGTCCCTCGCTATCCCTGATAATATTTCTTGTTCCAAAGTATATATTGTCTGGTACTTATAGCCACACCATCTTTATTTATTTATTTATTTATTTTGGTAGAGATGGGGTTTTGCCATGTTGGCCAGGCTGGTCTCGAACTCCCGGCCTCAAGTGATCCGCCCACCTTGGCCTCCCAAAGTGCTGGGATCACAAGTGTGAGCCACCACACCTGGCCTATTTTTCTTTTAATTAGGGTTTGCACAAAATGTCTTTTTCTATCCTTTTACTTTTAATCTATGTGTCTTTTTTTTTTTTTTTTTTTTGAGACTGGGCCTTGCTCTGTCATGCAAGCTGCAGTGCAGTTGTGCAATCACAGCTCACTGCAGCCTCAGACTCCTGGACTCAAGCCATCCTCTTGCCTCAGCCTCCAAGGTAGCTAAGACTACCAGCGCATACCATCACCCCCAGCTAATTTTTAAAAAAATTTTTTGTAGAGGACAGATGTGGTGGCTCATGCCTGTAGTCCCAGCTACTTGGGAGGCTGAGGGAGGAGAATCACTTGAACCCAGGAGGCAAGGGTTGCAGTGAGCCGAGATCACGCTGCTGCACTCCAGCCTGGGCAGCAGAGCGAGAAAATTTCTTTTTGTAGAGACAGGGTCTCTTTTTTGTGTACAGACAGGGTCTTGCTCTGTCACCCAGGCTGGTCTTGATCTCCCGGCCTCAAGCAATCCTTGCACCTGGGCATCACAAAGCACTGGGATTGAAGGCATGAGCTGCCACACCCAGTCTATCTGTGTCTTTATATTTAAGATGAGTTTCTTTATGATAGTTGATAGTTGGTTCTTGCTTTGTTATCCACTGCACAATACCTGTCTTTTTTTTTTTTCTTTTTTCAAGACAAGGTCTCACTCTGTCGCCCAGGCTGGAGTGAGTGACACCATCACAGCTCACTGCAGCTTCGACCTCTCAGGCTCGCTCAAATGATCCTCCCATCTCAGCCTCACAAACAGCTGGGACTACAGGCACACACCACTACTCCTGGCTAACTTTAGTATTTTTTGTAGAGATAGGTTTTCACCATGTTGCCCAGGCTGGTCTTGAACTCTTGAGCTCAATCTGTCCTCCTCAGCCTCCCAAAGTGCTGGGATTACAAGCGTGAGCCACTGCCAATATCTGCCTATTAAACTGAATATTTATATCACTTACATTTAATATTATCAATATGGCTATATTTAAAACTGTTGTCTTGTTTTTTGTCTTCTACTTATCTTACTGTTCTTTGTTCCTTTTTCCCACTTTCTTTGCCATCTTTTGAATGATTTTTGTTTACCATTCTATTTTATCTCCATTATTGGCTTATGAGTCATATCTCTTTGTTACGCTTTTTCAGTGATTACTCTGGGACTTAGAGTAAACATTAACTTAGTACAGTCTAGTTCAAATATTCTATTACTTTGCATATAAGAAAATTACAGCCAAGTGTGGTGGCTCACATTGTAATCCCAGCCCTCTGCGAGGCCATGGTGGGAGAACTGCTTGAGGCCAGGAGTTCAAGACCAGCCTGGGCAACGTGGTGAGACTCTATTTCTACAAAAAGTTAGCCAGACATGCTGTTATATGCCTGTAGTCCCAGCTACTTGGGAGGCTGAGGCAGGAGAAGACCTTGAGCCCAGGAGGTTGAGGCTACAGTGAGCTATAATTGTGCCACTGCTGTCGAGCCTGGGCAACAGAGTGAGACACTGTCTCTAAAAACTAGTAACAATAAATAAAGATAAATAAGAAAATTATAACAATATACTTTCATTTCTCCCCTCCTGTCCTTTGTGCTATTTTTGTCATACATTTTGCTTCTATGTATGTTCTAAACTCCAAAGTACCTTGTTTATATTTTTGCTTTAAGCAGTTTCTCAAAGAGATTAAAAATGAGAAAAGATAACTTTCATATGTTTCCATATAATTTACCATTTGGAAGCCTCTTCACTCCTTTGTGCAGCCCAAATTTCTATCTAGTATCATTTTTCTTCTGCCTAAAAAACTTGCCTCAACATTTTTTGTACTACAGGTCTGCTGGTTACGAATTCTCTCAACTTCAGTTTGTCCATCAAAAAGTGTTTATTTCACCTTCATTTTTGAAGGATATTTGTGTTGGGTATAGAATTCTAGATTGACCTACTTTCTTTTTCAGTTCTACTGTCTTCTGCCTTGA
This sequence comes from Homo sapiens, assembly GCF_000001405.40. Taxonomy (NCBI): domain Eukaryota; kingdom Metazoa; phylum Chordata; class Mammalia; order Primates; family Hominidae; genus Homo; species Homo sapiens. Next base: position 24,894,935 of record NC_000002.12, read on the forward strand.
ATAATTTCTGACCACACATCTGCTGTCATTCTTATCTTTGTTCCTCTCTATGTCGTGTGTCTTTTTTTTCCTTTTTGTTTTCTTTCTGGTTACTTTTATGAGTGTATCTTTATTAAGCAATCTGATTACAATGTGCCTTGATGTAATTATCTTCATTTTTCTTTTTCTTTTTTTTGAGATGGAGTCTTGCTCTGTCGCCAGGCTGGAGTGCAGTGGTGCAATCTCGGCTCACTGCAACCTCCTCCTCATGGGTTCAAGCGATTCTCCTGCTTCAGCCTCCTGAGTAACTGGGACTACGGGCACACACCACCACGCCCAGCTAATTTTTGTATTTTTAGGAGAGACGGGGTTTGACCATGTTTGTCGATGGTCTCGATCTCTTGACATTGTGATCCGCCCACCTCAGCCTCCCAAAGTGCTGAGATTACAGGCATGAGCCACCACGCCTGACCAATTCTCTTCATTCTTATTCCTTATATTTGTTTGTATTCTGTTGAGCTTCTTGAGTCATGGGTTGAGTTTTCATCAAATTTGGACGTTTTCCCACCATTATTTCTTCAAATATTTTTTTCTGTCTTTCTCTCTGTTCTTTTGAGACTTCAATTAAACATATTAGGGTCTGTTATATTGTCCCACATGCCAGTGATGCTCTGAGTATTACCTTTTGTCAATGTTTTTTCTTTCTTTCTTCTTCTTTTTTTTTTTCTTTTGAGACAGGGTCTCACTCTGTCACCCAAGCTAGAGTGCAGTGATGGAATCTTGGCTCAACACAACCTATGCCGTTGAGCTCATGTGATCCTCCCGTCTCAGCCTCCTGAGTAGCTGGGACCACAGGCACATGCCACCACTCCTGGCTAATTTTTGTATTTTTTGTAGAGACAGGGTTTCACCATATTGCCCAGGGTGGAATATTTTATCTTTATGTGCTTAATTTTAGATAGTTTTATTGCTCTAGCTTCAATTCACTGATCATTTCTTCTGCACTGTCTAATCTACTATTAATCCTATCTACCTAGCTTTTCATTTTTGATTTTGTAGTTGATATTTTGATTTTTCATCCCTAGAGGTGCTACTGGATCTTCTTATACTTTCCATTTCTCTTCCCATCATCCTGATGTGTTCATTTACATGCTTGATCAAATGAAACATATTTATAAAAGTTATATTCGGGCTGTGCACAGTGGCTCAAGCCTGTAATCCCAGCACTTTGGGAGGCCGAGATGGGCAGATCATGAAGTCGGGAGTTTGAGACCAGCCTGGTCAACATGGCGAAACCCCATCTCTACTAAAAAATACAAAAATTAGCCAGGCATGGTGGCATGCACCTGTAATCCCAGCTACTCCGGAGGCTGAGGCAGGAGAATCGCTTGAACCTGGGAGGCAAAGGTTGCAGTGAGCCGAGATCGTGCCACTGCACTCCAGCCTGGGTAACAAAGTGAGATTCTGTTACAAAAAAAAAAAAGTTATTTTCATGTCCTTTCCCTGATAATTCCATCACATCTTTGTCATTGCTAGGTCTATTTCTATTGACCACTTTTTTTTTGTTAGTGGGTCAGTCACATTTCCTTCTTTGTCTAGTAATTTTTTGCTGGATGTCTCACACTGCAAACGTTACCATTTTTCAATGCATAATTTTGTCATATTCTTTTAAAGAGGACTCCAGTGAACCCTGGTCCTGTGTTGGCTCTATCCTGTTTGTCTTACAGCTCCCTCTGCAGTTGTTCTCTTCTGGTCTCACAGGGTTGCCCTGTGCATGAGCAGATTGATATTCACCGAGATTCCAGGAGGCCTCTATCGAGATTTCTGGAGATCTTTCTCTTTCCAGCTTCTTCCTTTTAGGATTCTGTCCCACAGATTCTAGAAACCTTAGAACTTGGTGTCTCCAAATTCTGATCTCTGTTCCCTCAACTTAGTAATCTCGCCAGTCTCCGTTTGGGTTCTCCCTCCCTGTGGTAGAATTCTCTTCAGGTAGAAAGGCTAGGTAATGAACGATAGGGCTCACTCGGTTAGTCTTCTTTTTCCAAGGAATCACAGTCCACCATTGCCTGGTCCCTATATTTTATCCAGCTCCTAGTTGTTTACAGTGGGAGAATAATTCCAGGCTGTCCTGCTCACTCTCGACTGGAAGCAGAAGTCTCATCATCTTTTCGCAAGATGACATCATGGTAGATCAGAGGAAGAAAGAGACCAGCCACCCACCCTCTTTCAACCATATCCCTCTTGCCTACCATACCTGTACCCCATCTTTCCCTAACTGCCATTCCTGGTCTCTAATTCAGCCACACCCTCCTCCTCCTTCCCCTTCTCCTTTTTCTCCTCCTCCCCCTTCTCCTCCTCCTCCTCCTCCCTCTTCTCTCTCTCTTTGTCTCTCTCCCTCTCTCTTTCTGGGACTTCTTATAGAATGTACCCCCACCTCCATTGCTACCACTAACTTCAAGGCCTGGTTCAAAGCCCCCTGCCCTTGGCATAAAGAGCCAAGACTCTGAAACTGGACAGAGCAGAAGCTGAACACCAGCCTCACCTGCCAAGGGCCTGTGTGTCCCTGAGAAAGCACCTCAGTCTCTCTCTGAAATCTCCCCAGGGTTGGGGAGAGGATCAGAGCACCTGACACAGTGCCCGGCGCGAAACAGGTGCTTGGTCAGTGTTCCTCCCAACTCTACCATCACGATGTCACATGTGGCTGGCTGTTCTCTTCCTCCACCTTCTCATGGGTGATTTGAAATAGTCTCTCATCAGTTTATGGGGAGTGTGTTGAAATCTTCACACTCACACGGGAAGTTCAGCAAGGACAACAACCCAGACTTTTCCATTTTGCACCTTCTAATATGCTGAGCACCAGCAGGCCCTCCGTCTATGCTGGCTGAACGAATCCCTCTCTCTCCTATACCCGCTTCGGTGGCTCAGGTCAGGTCCTTGTATCCCGCCACGTTCAGGCAGGTTCTCACATACTCTGCTGCTCACAGCCATCACCGTTCGCTGCCAGAATCATCTTCCTGAAAGGTAGCAGGGCTCAGGTCAACTGCCTGCTCCAAAGCTTTCAATGGCTGTCCACTGTCTACAAAATGGAGTCAGAACTGTCTCATATGGCTTTTACTCCTCCCCATTTCAGATCCCAAATAACCTTCCAGGCTTCTTTGTTACTACTGCACCCAACTCTCCAGTCAGAGGTTCTCCACTACCCCGTCTATGTTCACCCCCAGACCTTTGTTCACAAGCCACTGCCACTGCCCCTCCCCTACTGACCTCAGGATCGAAATCCAACGTGCCCTTCACGGCCCAGCTCAGTACTCCTCCTCCTGAGGGGCTTTTCTCTCCACTCTCCCAGTTCGTGCGCCACAGAGGCCCCCGGGGAGGCTCGAGGACCGCCTTTCCATCACCGTGGGGTGAGCCCCACCCTCGCACCGAGAAGAAAGGAAGGGAGTGGACCTACTGTCTGCGGGATGGGAGTCGGGACACTGACTGTGTGGGAATGCACCTATGCAGGGCTGTCCTCGGGGAGAGGGGCTTCGTGTACTTCACACAGTGCTTCATGAAGGGGTGAGTCAGGCGCCATCTCTCCTTTTTCCAAAAGGAAAAATGAGCCACACCACAGATTAAGTCAATTACACTCAGCCAGAGGAAATATCCTCCGAAGATCTTCACTCTCAAATCAGCCTCTCAATGGAGCCCTGCAGCACTGGAAAGGAGCCCTCCCATTTCCGCCTCTGACTTCCTTTCCACAAAGCAAAGGAGCAGAAGCCACAGGTCCCAGGAAACCGCACAGCTCCCGGCTCCAGGTCTCTGGGGAGACAACCCTTGCCTGGGGAAGCCTGGGAGGTTCGGGGAAGCAAACAGAATTCCTAAGACTGGGAGAACAAAAGCAAAATTTACCACGCAACCAACAGCAGCTCAGCAGTGGGAGGTCTGCAGCCTGGGGATAGCTCCAGTTCACACTGGAAACCCTTTCACCGCCAGAGAACTCCAGCGCGGACGCCAAGCACGACCACGGCAGGTGACCTGCCCTCCCTCCAGCTCCACCACCATTCTCCCTGTTCTCACCACACAACCACGCACTCAATAGCCTCCAAACACTCCACTGTCCCCTCATGCCCCTTGTCACCCTGAATCCCGGTGTCACTGGCTTCCAATGTCCCCCTACCCCTCCCACCTTTTCCCAGCTCACCTGTCTCTACCTCTGCTCCCTAGGCAGAGCCACTAGGCAGTTGCCAACTGCCTAGGCAACTCCCTAGGCAGCTGACCCACAGAGGCCCAGGGAGGTCAGCTGCGCTGCCCAGGGCCCCAGGCATCCAACTCTGGGCCACGCTTCCCTCCTCCTGGCACACCGCCTCCTTCTCCCCAAACCACCATCCGCTCTTCTGCCCTGTGAGGTGATGACTGTATTGATTTTGATGCCTTCTTCAATCCCAATAAATAAACCATTCTCTTGCGACCAAAGCCCATGTCTGTCTAAGAGCGGGACCTCACTCTCGGCTGGAATGCTGCTGTCACCCCAGCCACCTCTGCCACCAGCCTGCCAGGCAAAACTGTCCCTGGATTTCCTGCCCAGTAGGCCCTTGAAAGATGCCTTCTTGCTGCTGCAGATGGAAGCAAGCAGAAGCAGCTTGCTAGACCAGCCCTGACTCTTCCTCAGCTCGAGAGGTGGCTGTGGCTCAAGGAGGCCACCAGTGTGGACCTCGAGTGGCACCACCCAGCTGATGGAGGCAGGGCTGCAGACGGCAGAGGCATCTCATCCCCTTGAGAGGAAACTACAGTTACCATAGAGGGGTGTGTAGAGCTTTGCTTCCCCGATTTGCATAAGCTTATATAAAGAATGTATCTGTCCTAAATGTGCATAGAGTCACATAAATATGCAATTCACAGAAAGATCTCTGGAAGTATCCACACCAAACATTTGGCAATGGGTACCTATGAGAAGGGGAGCAAGGGAAGGAAGGAGGACTTTCACTTTTATTCTTTGTACTCCTGTCTAGGTTGAATTATTTTCTTACAATAGTGCTTCATAATATAGAAGAAAACTGATATTCGTTTAAGAGAAGCCTCAATGTTAATAGCAGTTATCCTTCAGAAATAATATTATGGGTAATATTTTTTCATACTACATAGTATTTTCCAGGCTTTCCACAGTGAATACATTTGTTACTTTTATGTTAGATTGAATCATATGAAATGAAGTTGCCTTTTTTTTTTTCTTTTTGAGACAGAGTCTTGCTCTGTCACCCAGGCTGGAGTGCAGTGGCGAAATCTCGACTCACTGCAACCTCCGCCTCCCAGGTTCAAGCAATTCTCCTGTCTCAGCCTCCTGAGTAGCTGGGATTACAGGTGTGCGCCACCACCCAGGAGGCGAAGGTTGCAGTGAGCTGAGATCATGCCACTGCACTCCAGCCTGGGCAAAAGAGCCAGACTCTGTCTCAAAAAAAAAAAAAATAAATAAAAAATTTTTTAAAAACGTAAATGTTTATGTAGACAATAGCTCTATCATTAAGGCCTGACATATAAACTTTCCAGAAATGGGGGGGCCATACCCCCAATCTTAAATGTATAGCTACAGAATTTCTACCTGCAGTGTTTGTGTCCCGCAGCTAGGCAGGATGGACAAGGTTCTGTGAGCAGCCTGGGCAAACAGGAGAAGGCAGTCCTGAGCAATGCGCTTTAGTCTACACCTAGAGAAAGTGCCCAGGACCATGTAAGGTCTGGAAACCATGTCGCCTGAGGACTTCTTGAAAAAGGGAGATGGGCGAGGCTGAAGAGGAGATCCAGGGAGAGCAACATAGCTGAATTCAAACACTGGAAGGGCTGCTGTGTAGAAAACAAGAAGTAGACATGCATTACTTCCTGTGGACAAATTAGAACCAGGAAAGGGTGGCTCATGCCTGTAATCCCAGCAGTTTGGGAGGCCGAGACGGGTGGATCACCTGAGGTCAGGAGTTCAAGACCAGCCTGGCCAACATGGTGAAACCCCATCTCTACTAAAAATACAAAAATCAGCTGGGCGTGGTAGTGGGCACCTGTAATCCCAGCTACTTGAGAGGCTGAGGCAGGAGAATCGCTTGAACTCAGGAGGCAGAGGTTGCAGTGAGCCGAGATCATGCCATTGCACTCCAGCCTGGGCGACAACAGTGAGACTCCGTCTCAAAAAAAAGGAAAATGAAAGAACCAGGAATGGAAGCAGCGAGGAGGGAGCAGGTCAGAGCCGAGCAGGAAGGGGCAGGGGCACAGGATAGCGCTGGAGTCCCCAGAGCCGAGACACTGGATCCACCAAGATAGTCCAGTCCCTCCAGAAATCAACTGACGTTACACGTGCCGCAGGCAAGCTCCTCTCTAGGAAGGCCATGCATTTATTTCTGCTCCAACTTTCGGAGTATTTTCCAAGAATCACTTATGTTTAGTCCCAAACCTGTTTATGCCAGTTGTTTTTGGTATTATATTTACATAACTTAATTAAATATAACCTACACAGATAAAATATGGATGTGAAAGAAAGCGCGTTGTTTCTAAAAAAAGTAAAGTGAGTATTTTGAACATTTTTGACAAATATAAGTAGCTAGAAGAAATTGCTGTTGAATTCAAGGTAGGCAAGACAGTAACAATTTGGCCAAAAAGAAAGAACAGTAATAAAAATGTAGGGGGATTCTGTACCCAGGTTCCTTCCAAGTGACTTTTAATTCTTACTCCACTTTAAGGAAACTGGAAATGACACACAACACATCCCAGCTGCAAAAGAAGGCCATAGGAGGGGGTGGTGGCTAACACCGGTGGTCCTAGCTACTCAGGAGGTCAAGGTGGGAGGATCACTTGAACCCAGGAGCTCAAGCCCAACCTGGGCAACATAGCAAGACCTCATCTTTAAAAAAAAAAAAAAGAAGAAGGAAAAAGAAAAAGGCCACAAGGAATACCAAACAGAGTACCTATATAAAAAGGAAAGAACTTTCCCTTCAACAAAAGATTGGCAAATGACTGTATAGCTAAATGTTTTCAATTAAAACAAACTATTTAAAATACATATAAATGTATATATGTATGCACAATTTTTGTGATTCCTGTATTTTACTGACTTTTTATAAAACCTACTGAATTTTAGTAGATGGCACACATTTTAACTCTGTGTGTGTGTGTGTGTGTGTGTGTGTGTGTGTGTGTGTGTATTTGGTTTTTTTTTTTTTTTTTGAGACAGGGTCTCACTCTGTTACCCAGGTTGGAGTGCAGTGTTGTGATCATGGCTCACTGCAGCCTCAACCTCCTGGGCTCAAGCGATCCTCCTGCCTCAGTCTCCCTAGTGTCTGGGACCACAAGTGTGTGCCACCACGCCTGGCTAATTTTTTAATTCTGTGTAAAGATGAGGTCTCACTATTTTGCCCAGTCTAGTCTCGAATTCCTGGGCTCAAGCGATCCTCCCACTTTGGCCTCCCAAAGTGTTGAGATTATAGACGTGAGCCACCTTGCCCAGCCTTAGGTGTATATTTTGATGAATATGGACAAATATGTACAGCTGTGTGACTACTTCTCCAAGCAAGATACGAAAGACTGCCATCATCCCAACATGTGCCATGGTGCCCCATCCAAGTCAACTTCTCTCCCAGCCCCGTGGAGTGTCTGTTAAGGTACCATAGCTCTTACCACACCATAGTTGGCCCTTGAACAACAGGGTTTGAACCGCACAGGTCCACTTGCAGATTTTCTTTCACCTCGGCAACCCCTGAGACAGCAAAACCAACCCCTTCTCTTTCTCCTCCTCCTCAGCTACTCAACGTGAAGATGCAGATGAAGACCTTTTGATGATCCACCTCCACTTAATGAATAGTCAATATATTTTCCTGGCCAGGCGCAGTGGCTCGTGCCTGTAATCCCAGCACTTTGGGAGGCCGCGGTGGGTGGATCACCTGAGGGCAGGAGTTCGAGACCAGCCTGGCCAGCATGGTGAAACCCCGTCTCTACTAAAAACACAAAAAATTAGCCGAGTGTTGTGGCACATATTTGTGGTCCCAGGTACTTGGGAGACTGAGGCAGGAGGATCACTTGAGCCCAAGAGGTTGAGGCTGCAGTGAGCCGTGATCACACCATAAAAATTAGCTTGGTGTGGTGGCGGGCGCCTATAGTCCCAGCCACTCAGGAGGCTGAGGCAGGAGAATCACTTGAACCCGGGAGGCGAAGATTGCAGTGAGCCAAGATCGCGCCACTGCACTCTAGCCTGGGTGACACAGAGAGAGACTCTATCTCCAAAAAAAAAAAAAAAAAAAGTTATACATGGATGTTGACTGTGTGGGGGGCAGCACCCCTAACGCCTGTGTGGTTCAAGGGTCAACTGTATGCTGAAGCCATCTTTTGACCGTCTGTGCTCTCCACCATCTATCTTTTGTTGTTATTCCCCTTTTTCATGTACAGTACAATTCCCTTTTTTGGTGTACAGTTCTATGTTCTGACACACAGTCATGTAACCACTTCCACAACCGTCTGTCTCGATCTCCTCAGAGAAGACGACTTCTGACTTGCATTTGGATCTGGAAGTCTTGGCCCTGAGACCAGCCGGGTCTGCGCTTCCCGGGGGGAGCCTGGGCGCCTTCTTCACCCTCTGTTCCTCCTCCACTTTCTTTTCTATAAAATGCCAGTGACAAGAATATCCACCTCACAGAGTGGGTGTGAGGACTAAGTGACATAATGAGATAAAAAGCGCTTCAATGATCCATGCAAATGTTATTTGTAACTAGTCCTCAGAGAGTCATCAGACCCATTAGGCCATCGTGAAGGGAAGTGGGTGAGGGGCGGGGAGGAATGGGAGCAGGGGTAGGAGGGTGCGGGGGCACCATGGCAGGGCTCCAGCACGGCTCGCCAGCTGAACAGGGAGCGCCATGATCCCTTTCTTCCCTAAATGCAACTCGAAGCCTCAGGTGTTGTGCGTCACTAACCCTGCCGAGGACGAAGATTCTAAAGCTCAGGGGAACAAAGTGAGGCCATCTAGGGCCACAGGGACATCCTAACCCCAGGTTCTCCATATGAAAGGAACCGAGCTCCATGCAGCTCACATGATCTGACCTAATGAAAGGACATACCTGGCTTCCTCCACTACAGCCATGCCAGCAGCCTTCTTCACCATGTCTCCCACCCACAACCAACTCTTCACGCATTCCTCCCAAAGACGGAGCATAAAGAGAAAAGACATTAAGTGAAAGGCCATTGCCAAAATGCAAAAAGGAAGGAAGGAAGGAGACAGAGAGAGAGAGAAAGAAAGAAAGAAAAAGAGAGAGAGAGAGAAAGAAAGAGAGAGAAAGAAAAGAGGCAGAGAGAAATTTGGATCAAAAGTACACTATTCCACTATTCTAGCCGGGTGTGGTGGCTCACGCCTGTAATCCCAACACTTTGGAAGGCCCAAATGGGCAGAGAACTTGAGATCAGGAGTTTGAGGCCAGCCTGACCAACATGGCGAAACCCCATCTCTACTAAAAATACAAAAATTTGCCAGGTGTGGTGGCACATGCCTGTAGTCCATACTACTGAGGCAGGAGAATCACTTGAACCCGGGAGGCAGAGGCTGCAGTGAGCCGAGATCGTGCCCCTGCACTCCAGCCTGAGCGACAGAGTGAAATTCCATCTCAAAAAAAAAGAAAAGAAAAGAAAAAAGTACATGATTCTTTGTCTCTGTGGAGAACTTCATGTGGAAAGCATATTCTCTCCGACATTTAGAAGGCAACCAAAAAAAACGGTGACCCAGCTTGTAAGTTTCTTCTCTCTTTTTTTAAGACAGCATCTCTGTCGCCCAGGCTGGAATGCAGTGGCACAATCTCGGCTCATTGCAACCTCTGCCTCCTGGGTTCAAGCAATTCTCCTGCCTCAGCCTCCCTAGTAGCTGGGATTACAGGCATGCACCACCACGTCCAGCTAATTTTGTATTTTTAGTAGAGACAGGGTTGCACCATGTTGACCAGGCTGGTCTTGAACTCCTGACCTCAGGTGATCTGCCTGCCTCAGCCTCCCAAAGTGTTAGGATTACAGATGTGAGCCAATGCGACTGGTCAGTTTCTTCTATTTTGCCTCCTATGCGCCATTCCTCTATTGTGTTGTTTTTGCTTTTTCCCTGATTATTAGAGTTATTAACCAAAGCCCTGTCCAGCAAGCAAAGCCATGATCACTATAGAGAGATGGGAAGGTACAGTTTGGTCTTTCTTAGTTACTGTGGGGAAATGGTGAATAATTGAAAGTGTGTTTTTGCATTTTTTTTTTTTTTTGAGGCAGAGTCTTGTTCTGTCTCCCAGGCTGGAGTGCAGTGGCACAATCTCAGCTCACTACAAGCTCTGCCCCCTGGGTTCACACCATTCCCCTGCCTCAGCCTCCCGAGTAGCTGGGACTACAGGCACCCACCACCACACCCGGCTGATTTTTTTGTATTTTTAATAGAGACGGGGTTTCACCATGTTAGCCAGTATGGTCTTGATCCCCTGACCTCATGATCCGCCCGCCTCGGCCTCCCAAAGTGCTGGGATTACAGGCGTGAGCCACTGTGCCCAGCCGTTTTTACATTTTTTAAGACAAAAATTGTCTAGGAAAGTTGAATATGGCTATTTATTAAACAGGGGCTGAGGGTCCGACACCCCAGTCAGGGGTTGGGAAACAATGATAGGGTGGATAGGGCCAAGCGGGGAGGGATGTCAGGTCCGCCCCAACCAGGGAGGCAAGGGCAGGGCTTGAAGCCACCAGGCGCCCTTGAGACATCCTGGAAGAAGCCTGGGGCTGCTCTTCCCTCCCTTGTGGTTGGGCCAGGCTTTTCTACAATTCCTTATCAGAGCCAATAATCATCACAATGACAGTGACAGCCAGAGAAACAGCCATTTCTAGTGCTTGCCGCCTATCCCAGTGAAAAAGGTATTATTATCACACCCATTTTGCAGAAGGAGAAACCAGGCAAAGAGGTTAAATAACTTACCCCAGATCTCACAGTTGGTAAGTGGGGGAGCTCCTGGTGGTTCAAGTCGAATGACTGTGACGCCAGTGCTTTGACCCAGAGTCCAAAGCAGAAAGCCACCCGGGGTGAGGGTCGACCAAGACTCACAAGGTCCCTTCACTACGCCGTAATTGTGAAGGCCAGCAGGTCTGAGACACAATGGAAGGGATAGGAAATGCCACCTGTAATCCCAGCACTTTGGGAGGCTGAGGCGGGCGGATCACCTGAGGTCAGGAGATCGAGACCAGCCTGGCCAACATGGTGAAACCCCGTCTCTACTAAAACTACAAAAACTAGCCAGTCGTGGTGGTGCACGCCTGTAATCCCAGCTACTTGGGAGGCTGAAGCAGGAGAATCTCTTCAGCCCAGGAGGTGGAGGTTTCAGTGAGCTGAGATGATGCCACTGCACTCCAGCCTAGGCGAGAGAGTGAGACTGTTTAAAAAAAAAATAAAAAGAACCACCCTAGATTGGGCTCTTCATGGAAATAAAGAGTGAATATCCCAAATTTGTCCCTGGAGATGGGCAATATGATATTAACAACTACAAGCCCAACTACAGGAGGAATGTGTGTTCCAGAGCACTCAGTGCTGCACCAATGAAAGGTAAACTGTAAGCATGGGCAGGAGTAGAGCAAAAAGGCACTGAAGGGTGAGGCTGTGTGCCACTCCTTGGGCTGGCTCCAGCTGACAGGGTTGTCCACAGTAGAAAATGTGCCTGTGGGCAGTGGGGTCGGCCCCCAGCCCCACGTGGGAGGATGAACAACCCTCGGCACCATGCCATGCGCTTTGCTCAGATTCCCCTTCAGGAAATTACTGATTTGGTTTCTTAGGAATTGGCAGCAAATATGTACCAAATGACACACATGGTATTACCACCCCCTGCTCCCACCCCGCTGCCCTCCAGAGAAGGTGGGAAGGTCCACCTACCATAAGCAGGTTGGTGACCAGGCCTTGAGCAATCTGTCTTATAAGAATCAGGCTCAAGACTGGACGTGGTGGCTCACGCCTATAATCTCAGCAGTTTGGGAGGCAGAGGCAGGTGGATCACTTGAGATCAGGAGTTTGAGACCACCCTGGCCATCATGGTGAAACCCCACCTCTACTAAAAATACAAAAATTAGCCAGGCGTGGTGGCACGCACCTGTAATCCCAGCTACTCGGAAGGCTGAGGCAGGAGAATCACTTAAACCCAGGAGGCGGAGGTTACAGTGAGCCAGGATCGCACCACTGCACTCAAGAGCAAAACTCCATCTCAAAAAAATAAAAATAAAAATGAAAGGAATCAGGCTCATGGGAATAAATTCCTCAGGGCCTGGTCCCCTTGGGTGAGAAACTGCCCCCAAGGGCAGTCCAGGAGCCCACCGAGAGCTGGATAGGCAGCTGTCGCAGTCTTCCACTACCAGATCTGACTCAGCCGACACCAAACTACACTTCCTGGAGATCAGTCCTGAAGTGACATGTGAACAACAAACCCCAGACATGGAAATCTTGCGAAAGTTCAAGTCCAGTCGCTTATGTTGGGGTTTTGAATGGAGCTCAAGAGAGGGGTAGATTTCTTCTGAAACAAGTCATTTACTTTCCTGTCTACAAGAAGGAAAGTGTTGTGGAGGAGAGGAAGGGGAAAAGGAAAGAAACAGTTTCATTTCTAATCAAAGTGAATTCCTTAGGAACCACAAAGAGGAATTTCCTAGAAGAAAGGACTGAAAACCTGCTCAGAAGAAGGAAGAGTCATCAGACAGAAAATGGCAAGGAGGGGAAAGGAGAGAGGGGATGGGCCTGCTGAAACGACAGCAAGTAAATAAAATGCAAGTGACACATAAATAAAATCAATAAATTAAGAATAGACAAGACTGGGCGCAGTAGCTCACGTCTGTAATCCCAGCACTTTGGGAGGCCGAGGTGGGCAGATCACTTGAGTTCAGGAGTTGGAGACCAGCCTGGCCAACATGGCGAAACCCCATCTCTACAAAAATACAAAAATTAGCCGGGTGTGGTGGTGAGCTCCTGTAATCCCAGCTACTTGGGAGGCTAAGGCAGGAGAATCACTTGAGCCTAGGAGGCAGGGGATGCAGTGAGCTGATATTGTTCCACTGCACTCCAGCCTGGGCAACAGAACGAGACTCTCTCTCAAGAAAAAATAAAAATAAAAATACAAAAATTAAGAGTAGACAAATGAGCCAAGCGTGATGGCTCACGCCTGTAATCCCAGCACTTTGGAAGGCCAAGGTGGGCAGATCACCTGAGGTCAGGAATTCAAGACCAGCCTGGCCAATATGGAGAAACCCCATCTCTACTAAAAATGCAAAAATTAGCTGGGCATGGTGGCGCATGCCTGTAACCCCAGCTACTCGGGAAGGCTGAGGCAGGAGAATCACTTGAACCTGGAAGGCAGAGGTTGCAGTGAGCTGAGATTGCACCATTGCACTCTGGCCTGGGCAACAAGAGCGAAACTCCGTCTCAAAAAAAAAGAAAGAAAAAAAAGTAGACAAATGCCCTACAGAAAAGGAATAGTACAATATTCTGCAATATTATTCAGCATTTTATAATTTGAAACATTCTTAACAATAATCCTTTCACAATGAAGAAAAAGAGCTAGTTGATTACGCAGAAAAGAGATGAAAAAAGGATAATGAAGAAACTTGGTCTGATTCATTCATAGTTCAAAGATCAGAGATGGTCTGCCAAGATTAAATGTAATAAAGAAATAACTAGCATCTGCACAGTGCTTTGTAGTTTAAAGCGCCTCTATATAATTACCCACCCCTCCCCCAACCAGGTAACACAGTCACACTCCCGTGCCCTTGTTTGCCAGTTAGAACTGTGGGAAGCAGTCCCTCAACTGGCACCATGGCCCCACCTTGGCTAGGCTTAAGTCTCCCCAATGCAAGAGCATCAATCGTGCAAAACACCATCAGACAGACACTGCTTCCTGCTTCCTAATGGCCGATCTACCCAGCACAGGCTACCTGGGACAATCATGGGTCCCGGCAGGAAGCAGGGGCGGGTTACAGATGTCCCATGCTGAGGGCCCCCCCGACACACATTGGCTGCTCCACGTGTTGGATTCTAAGCCCCCTTCCTTTTTGATTCTACACACTCTCCCCAGGCAACCCCTCAGCCTCCCTACAGTTTTAGGTGCCACTTAAATGCCGATGATTCTCAAATCTGCAACTCTAGACCTTTCTTCTCCAGATCTTGAGTACAAGGTCTGGTATACAGAAGGTGTTCAATAACTTTCCACTGAATAATCTGAAAGTTCCACTTGGATGTCCCACGGGCAACTCAAACCAAACTCATCTTCTCCATCCCCTACGTCCGTCCTGGTGGGTGGCCCTCATGGTGCCACGCCTGGACTCCCTCACCAGCCTCCTGCACCATGTCGACTTCATTCAGGTCCACCAAGATGATCCCCCTAAATGCAAACCCAATCCTATCTGGTGTTTCTGAAGCTTGTGCACCTGCAAATCTCTACCTCCTGGGAAAGGAATACAAACATCAGAGCCAAGCTGCCAACCTAAGCTGAGGAGAGAAAGGGGCAGGAATGGTGCTGGGGTCCATGATTAAGCCACACATCCTGTCACCTAGGGCAGTGTCCTGGACACAGGGGCCGTTGCATGCTTGAGAAGGTAAGAGAATGACTTCTCACCCAAATAAGGCAAGGCAAAGTCTATACAGATGAATTCTGAGCCACCATTTCTCTCTGTACAATGCAGTTTCTGAAACTTTCTAAAAATCTTAGAAATGATGTATTGGATCCTACAGAGAATCAATACCTTAATGGAGTTAAAAACACTGGGCTCTGGGCCACATTTCTAACTTTTGAAGCATTCTGTGGTCACAGAGTATTTTGGACCCTACCCAATCTCATGGCTTTAATTAGTTCCGTCTCCCCAGCATCCCCCATGTGCCTCCTGGTTTCTCAGACAGCCTCAGAAGACAGCTGCTATCAATTCATTCCCTCCCTTACACACGCTACTCAAACATCAAAAGATAGAATCAATTTCCTCTTGCATCTGAGTTAGCCTGGACTTCTTGTAGCCGATAGTGATGAGCCTAACCTTTAAAAACTGTGATAGCTTCCACCTTCTCTCTGAGACCACCATGCTGTGAGGAAGCCCAAGTTAGCCACATGGAGAGGTCAGGAGGAGGAGCTCTGAGGCTCCAGACATGAGTAAAGGCTTCTTAGAACTTGCCAGCATAGCTGGCAACTGAATGCTGCAGGTGAATGAAACAGCGCAGGTGGACAAATGAGTGACCCCAGCCCATGCCACGTGAAGCACAAAAACCACCCAGCTGAACAGTCAACCCACAGGATCATGAGAAACAATAAACTGTCATTCTTTTTTTATTCTTTTTTGAGACCGGTCTTGCTCTGTCACCCAGGCTGGAGTGCAGTGTCACGATCATGGCTCATTGCAGCATCCGGGGCTCATAATCCTCCCACCTCAGCCTTCTGAGTAGCTGGGACTACTGGCACATGCTACCATGCCTGGCTGATTTTTGTACCATTTGTAGAGACAAGAGTTTTGCCATGTTGCCCAGGTTTAAACTGTTACTCTTTTAAGCCTCCAAATTTTGGGGCTGTTTGTTACACAGCAGTGGATAACTAAAACACATGGTGAATAAATGGACATATACTCAGTAACACTGAGTAATGAGCCATCCCACATTACTGAATTTCCAAATATAATCCTTATTTGTTCAAACTTGTGTTATCCATTCCCGAGGAAAATGTTTTTAGATACTACACTACACTTTATGCTAAATGCAATTTAATATTTCCTTTCTTTTCTTTTCTTTTTTTTTTTTTTTTGTGAGACAGAGTCTCCCTCTGTCACCAGGCACAATCTCAGCTCACTGCACTCTCTGCCTCCCAAGTTCAAGCAATTCTCCTGCCTCAGCCTCCCCAGTAGCTGGGACTACAGGCGTGCATCACCACGCCCGGCTGATTTTTTGTATTTTAATAGAGATAGGGTTTCACCATGTTGGCCAGGATGGTCTCGATCTCCTGACCTCGTGATCCACCCACCTCGGCCTTCCAAAGTGCCGGGATTACAGGTGTGAGCCACCGCGCCTGGCCTTAATATTTTCTTGATGAGTTGGTCACCATTATGCACATCAGTTACTATGCTGTCCTATAATGTAACAACGCCTCCTACAGCCAGAGAAGGTGCATATGAGGGCTGTTGGTTGCAACACTCAACACCCCAGACATCTCTGTTCCTTGAAGATGCCCCCAAAAACACCTCCTCATCCCCCAAATTGCTCCTTCTAATGCTTGTGGGTTGAGAAACCAAAACCCTAACCCCGTTGGAACTATCTCAACAGGCTCCGAGGGAAGATATAAGGGTTCTTTTTTTTTTTTTTTTTTTTTTTGAGATGGGGTCTCACTGTTCCCCAGGCTGCAGTGGGGTGGTATGATCAGAGCTCACTGTAACTTCAAACTCCTGGGCTCAAGCCATCCCCCTCCCCAGCCTCCTGTACAAGACACACACCATCAGCCTGGGCGCTGTGGTTCATGCCTGTAATCCCAGCACTTTGGTAGGCCGAGGCAGGTGGATCACCTGAGGTCAGGAGTTCGAGACCAGCCTGGTTACTGTGGTGAAAACCTGTCTCTACTAAAAATACAAAAAAAATTAGCCAGGCATGGTGGTGGGTGCCTGAAATCCCAGCTACTTGGGAGGCTGAGGCAGGAGAATTGCTTGAACCTGGGAAGCGGAGGCTGCAGTGAGCCAAGATAGCATCATTGCACTCCAGCCTGGGAGACAGACTCAAAAAAAAAAAAAAAAAAAAACACACACACACACACCACCAAGCCCAGCTGAATTTTTTTTGGTGGTTGTGTACGTGTGTGTGTGTGTGTGTATGAAGATGGGGTCTCATTATGTTGCCCAGGCTGGTCTTGAACTCCTGGCCTCAAGTGATATTCCTGCCTCAGCCTCCCAAAGTGCTGGGATTCCAGGCATGAGCTACTGGTCACCGCCTAATGGGTTCTTTTATGACTCCAGTGAGAAGGAACTCCAAAATCCTACTGACCTGGGCTCCAATCCTGCTCTGCCTCTTACTAGGCATGTGGCCCTGGACAAGTCATTTCAGTTGTCACCCATTTCAGTTTCCTGATCTGTAAAATGGAAATAATATTTGCCTCTTGCCAGAAGGCACTAAACTGTAACAGAGCAAGAGCTCAGTAAACACAGCCACCTCCTCACTGTCCCTGCTCATGGGCCTCGACCTACGCACAATGTGTCTCTGAGTCTCCGTGTTGGTGATAGCACATACCCGTGGAATCTATTATCAAGAACGTGTAATTTGGTGATGGCTGGGCATGGTGGCTCACACCTGTAATCCAGCACTTTAGGAGGCCGAGGTGGGTGAACCGCCTGAGCTCAGGAGTTCAGGCCCAGCCTGGGCAACATGGTGAAACTCTGTCTCTATTTGAAAAAAAAAAAAAGGAAGAAGAAAAAGAAAAAAAGAAAAAACAAAAAGAATGTGTAATTTGGTGGGGGGGCAGCCAGGGGCAGAGGGTGGTGTTGGAATATTTACCCAGCATTAGACCACCCTCGTGGGATTTGCTGTTTGTTTATGAAGAAACTGCAGAATGCCAATAACCCTGGCATCCCAGCCATTCCATCTGACGGAGGGTTTACCCAGAAGGCTGGGCAGACCAAGCCCAGGAGTGAGCACGCATGTGTGTGTGTGTGTGCATGTGTGTGTGTGTGTGCATGTGTGTGTGTGTGTGCATGTGTGTGTGTGTGTGTGTGCCTGCATGTGCATATAAAACTACCCAGTTACCCACCCCTGGCCCAGCCCTGGGCTTCCGTTTCCTCTCTAGAAAAACTCGCTGACTATAAAGCGCTGATTTAAAATAATAAACACGAGGAGTCCAGTGTTCACAGCAAAATGTCAGGGAAATAATGTGGATGAAAGGTGGGGCCTAAATTGCATATGCATGATGATGACAAACTGGGAAAGCTCTGTTTATACACAGATCGGGGTCAGAAAAGGCCACAGAAAGCTGCGACAGGGAAAGGATGGAGGGGTTGATTTTCTGCAAAGTTGTTTACATGTTCAATGACTGATTATTCCTCCTCACATGCAGCTGAATCTGATGGCCCTGCAGTCCCCTTCTACGCACGTCATCATTGTTCTGGTCCCTGGACCCTCCACTGATGCCCATCTGCATACTCTCCACGGAGGGATGACGGCTTCTTTCCCGTCCCGGGTCAGTGGAGGAGCCCAGGGCCAAAGAGCCAGGACTGGCTTGAGTTTGCCTCCTCTTGCTCTGTGTCCTGCACACCTCTCCCTGCAGCCTGCTTCCTGAAGGCTGAAAGCCCCCAGGCCTGCTGCTTCCTGCCCACCGCACCTCACACCAGCTCCTGTCCCGATTCAGCCCCCTGCCTTTCTCAAGTACTCCTGGCCACGTGCCCACAGGGAACATCGTCATGGGCTTCTCCCTTCTTTGCATCCAATTCCCATGGGGAGAAGGGGGTGCCTCCTGTTATACCTTAGGGACTGCCATCTCTTGGCACTGTTCAGCTACGTTGCTTAGCAAAGACATTTGGGGGCAGCCAGAAAAGTAGGAGGCCCAGATGCCTGGGTTCCAGAGAAAGAGAGGCTTTCAGGGAAGTCCCCCAACCCACCTTTCTCACTCATCAGTGACCCCTCCCCTGTAATCCAGCCCCACTACCTCCTCTCAACCTCACTGAGCCTCAGTCCCCTTATCTGTGAAATGGAGCCAGTAACATCCAGGATTAAATGGGATGAGGTGCATGCAACAGCTACCTGCCGTCTGCAGACAGGGTGTCTCTGGAAGCCTCAGTTTCCTCTCACCCTCCCTACGGCAGCTCCCTCCAGCCCCTAGGAGCAAATGTTCCTTTGCTGGGTGAATGATTGCTGTGTAATTTGCAGGTGTGAAAGAAACTGCACATCCACAGCTTCCTCATGTTTTACTTGGTGAAAAAAGGTCTTAACAGGCTCTTCATTCCATGAGAGAATTTTGCTCCCAAATAGCCTTTCTGCTCTGAAGTAAGGGTACAAAATATTTGTCAGCAGTTCCTAGTCCCTACTTTGCCAAATGCTAAAGGCACGCCCCGCCCACCACCACCCCCAACCATCCTGGCTGCCTTCCCCATTGTCCGCACTCATTGGCCGCTGGTCCTGCAGGTCCTGGTCCTGAGCCCAGTCCCCTCCTTCCTCCTCACCCAGCCCAGGGGCAGTTTAGGGCAGTAAAGGGCAAGTAATTCCGTAACAGGTCCTGGGGCAGGACCCAGGCCAGGGGAGCGAAATGGGCAAACACTGCCAGCCTCGGCTCCTCCTGATCCATCTGTCCTCCCTTCCGGCTGCTCTGGGCCTGTGTTGCCTCTTGGGATGGGGGACCCATGGAGCAGCAATCAGTGCTCCATGGAACACAGACAAATGAGCCCTGGGCTGGGAGTCAACGCCTGGGCTCCCGTCCTGTTTCTGCCACCAAAGTGATGGGTGACAGTGAACCAGTTATCACCCATCTCTGTTTCGTCCTCTGTTCCCTCCTCTGGACAGCGGCTCACACCTGTAATCCCAGCACTTTGGGAGGCTAAGGCAGGCGGATTATCTGAGGTCAGGAGTTCGAGGCCAGCCTGGCCAACATGGTGAAATCCTGTCTCTACTAGAAATACAAAAAAATTAGCCAGACGTGGTGGCGGCCACCTGTAATCCCAGGTACTTGGGAGGCTGAGGCAGCAGAATCACTTGAACCCGGGAGGAGGAGGTTGCAGTGAGCCAAGACTGTGCCATTGCACTCCAGCCTCAGAAATAAGAATGAAACTCTGTCTCAAAAAAAAAAAAAAAAAGGAATGGGGGACAGGCAGGGGCTAGAGGATGGGTCGTGAGAACCATTGGCTAGGTCTCTGCCCACCCAAGGTGGCTCTCAGAACATCCTCCCCGCCCCAGCACAGCCTGAGTGTCAGATGGCCTCATCCTCCTTATCCCCTGACCTTGCAGGCTGCAAGGCCCATGCTGCTCGGCAATATTCACTCATTAACTCATTGGTGGGGCCCCAGCCCCACCCCATCCCACACTCCCTGATCACCTGCTCTTCCTGTCAGAACCCCACCCACTGGCCTCCTGCGAGGAGCCCAGGACAGGTTGTCTGGCTGGCCTCTGACCTCTCAGGCTGCCAACAGCCCCATGTGTACCTTCTGTCCTTCCCCACAGAGCTGCGCATGGGCATGGGGGGATAAGGGCTGCAGAGGAAGAAGACTTTTGACACTGGCAATGCTTCTTCATGCTGCCAGTGACAGCAGCAACAAAACCACAAAACTCACAAGAACCCAGAAATCCAGGTGTCTATTTCGAACTGGGAAACTGCGTTCATCCCCCACTGACCCTGGAGGGAGTCCCCAGCCAGAGCCGACAGGGGATGGGAGAGAGAAAGACAAGGGCAAGCACATGGGTAGGAGAAAGGCGGTGCCTGGGGTCTGGAGAAAGTTCTGGGACCTACCCTGACCAGAAGGGGCCTGGTCCCCTGGTTCTTGCATCCTGTCCTCCAGCCCTTGCCCCCGATCCTTGATGGGGCCCACATCCCAGGAGGCAACGGCAGCAGGGGAGATGAATGACACCTCACTCCAGGGCTCAGGGGAGACCGCTGTCCCGGGTGTCCCTCCCCACAGCAACACAGGCTGCTGCAGCTTGTGTTTTTTGTTGTTTTTGTTTTTGTTTGATGGAGTCTCACTCTGTCGCCCAGGCTGGAGTGCAGTGGTGCGATCTCGGCTCACTACAATCTCTGCCTCCTAGGTTCAAGTGATTCTCCTGCCTCAGTCTCCTGTGTAGCTGGGATTATAAGCACGCCCCATCACACCTGGCTAATTTTTGTATTTTTAGTAGAGATGCGGTTTCGCCATGTTGGCCAGGCTGGTCTTGAACTCCTGACCTCAGGTGATCCGCCCGCCTCAGCCTGCCAAAGTTCTGGGATTACAGGCATGAGCCACCATGCCCGGCCCCATTTCCACCATCTTCAGAGGCCAAATGCCGGGATGCTGTGAGTTGAGGAAGACCCTGGTGGGTGGGCCTGGGAACCCAGGCACCTTTTAAAAAGTCACATTAGTCCCAAACCAGTGACTCAGAAGCTTCTGGAACACAGCCCACTGTAAGCTGGGGCCTCCTGCCTTCGATCTCAGGCTCCCAATCGGACCTTGAGAGCTCTCTGCCCCTCCTGCTCTGTTCCCAAAGCTGCCTCCCAGGCACTGCTTGCATGCCAAGGTCAGGCTCCCCTGGGATGCTAATATTTTTATTCTTGATTTCTATCTTTTTTTTTCTGTTTTCTAAGTTTTAGGGTTTTATGTCTTAGCAATACTCAAAGGAGAACAATCATGAGTTTAGAAGTGATCTCCGAGTAGCCACGTGGTGGGGCACCCAGGCCCCGGCCCAGCCCTGTGGCCATACCTTCTCAGTCCTTTTCCCTGGAAGCTCCAGGAGCCTCAAAATAAGCTCCTTGTCCACCTGAGGAGATGGAGCTAGAGAGACCAGTCATCCTCAGACCTCAGACCTTAGAACCTGGGATGCCTGGGCATGGTGGCTCACGCCTGTAATCCCAGCACTTTGGGAGGCCGAGGCGGGCGGATTATGAGGTCAAGAGATCGAGACTATCCTGGCCAACATGGTGAAACCTTGTCTCTACTAAAAATACAAAAATTAGCCAGGCGTGGAGGCGCGTGCCTGTCATCGCAGCTACTCAGGAGGCTAAGGCAGAAGAATAGCTTGAACCTGGGAGGCGGAGGTTGCAGTGAGCTGAGATCGCGCCATTGCACTCCAGCCTGGCAACAAAGCAAGACTCCGTCTCAAAAAAAAAAAGAACCTGGGACTGGCTAATGCATGGCCTGAAGAGATATGACTGGTGTTTCCACCTAGTCAATGACCAGAAACTCACAGCCCCCTCTACAGAGATTTGGGGTGGGGACGGCAGGGCAGCACATAGCCACTGTCTCCAGGAGGTGGGGTGGGAAGCAAAGCTCCTGCTCTCAGGCAGCTCTCAGTGCTCCAAGGAACATACACAAATGAGCCCTGGGCTGGGGGTCAATGCCTGGGCTCCCGTCCTGTTTCTGCCACCAAAGTGCTGGGTGACAGTGAACCAGTTATCACTCATCTCTGTTTCCTCCTCTGTAAAATGGGTAGTCTGGGCTAGATGCCCTGCCAGGCCCTGCCTATGTTAACATCCTCTACCCATTTCTAGAACAAATCAGCAGGATGAGACATGAGTGGAGAAATCAGCAGAGGAGTGGAAGATTCTGTCTGTCCACCCTGGGCCTGCACATAGCACCTGGTCTCCAGGACCCAGGCACTGACCTCCATGGCTGCTAGAGGCTCACGTCAGTCAGCAAGGATTCTGGGCACGCCCTGCCTCTCCTGACACCCAGAAGGTCACCGCTTCAGAGCTGACTCTACCCCAGCCCCACTAACCACAGAACAGAGCTGGCGTGGGAGTTAAGACATCTCTACCAGACAGAGCACTGCAGGGGCAGGAAGTGGGGGAGCCTCTCTTGACCATCATTGGCACGAGGCTGGCAGGCTGGGCACCAAACCCAGATGCAGACATCTCCGCCTCATTCTCTGGTCACCGGCTTGCTGGCTCCCCAGGGACACACACTGCCTACTGTCCCTCAGGTCCCCTGGTCTCTGCAGCCCCTGAGGGCCTGGCACTTGGTGGGAACACAATACTATAATAGTTAAGCTGAGGCCGAAATTCCACCCCTTCCAGTAGAAAGCGTGCTCCAGGACCAGCAGAATGCGTGCTTTAGGACCAGGAGACCCTACGTCACAGTGGCCGGCATGACTGTCCCCATTTGCATCCCCACACCACACCTTCAGTGGGGAGACCACCATTCTCCACTTCATAGAACTCCCCAGGCACCCCGAGCTCCCGGAGGCAGGAAATATGACAACTGCGTCTTCCCTCTGTGCAGCCCTTCACGTATCCTAATGCGCTTTCCCCCACATCTCCTGCAATCCTGACAACAACCGTGTCATGCAGGCAGAGCGGACGTTATCCCCATTTGACAAAGGGGCACTGAGTCCACACAGCTAGTCAGTGCTGGGGAGAGATGGGAATCAAGGAGCCCTCTTCCCAAGGGAGGTCCTCCTTGCCAGGGTCACTGACAGGGAATGGCCAGGACAATGCTGCCTCAAGACCAGCCCTGGGTGGGCCTTCCTGTCACACACTTAGACTGGGCACAGGTGAAGAGTGGCCCTGAGGCCCAATGCCCTGACATCCTCCTTTCCCTGGGGCCAAGCACAGGCAGACTCCGGGTAATGGCACAGGGGTGAAAAGGCAGGGACTAGGGAGAGAGGTGAGAGCCCCGGAGGCCCCCAGGACACATTTTGACTCAAAGGCAAAGCAAACAGCAACTCCAACAGGTCCCAAGTTGGTGAGAGCTGCAGGAGAGGACGCTGTGGGGGGACAGTGGGCAGGACTCACCTCCCGCAGCAGCTGCATCCCCTTGAGCTCCTCCTGCTGCTGCTGGGCCACGGTGACCCCCAGGACCAACGTGTGCACCACACAGGAGACCACGGAGATGATCACGATGGGGCTGAGGCTGAGGGGCAGCGTGATGAAGAAGGAGAAGACAAAGAAGACCTGCCAGCCCACCGTGTCACTAGCCGCGTGGGCACGCGCGAAGTTCAGGCCCAGGTAGGAGAAGATCTGGGCGGTTATGAGCAGCCACAGCACGTAGGGCAGCACTCTGCGGGTGACCCGGTCCGGGAGCAGCCCCTTTTTGCAGAGCACGAAGAGGATGATGTCCAACACCAGTCCAATTCCAGCCACGGCGAGGGAAGCCAGCTTGTCGCTGGAGAAGACCACAGCACACATGACCACCACGTAGCAGTCAAAGAGGGCTGCAAAGACCACCAGCACCAGCAGGGTCTCGTGGCGCTGCCTTTTGAAGTAGGTCTGGTAGAGGTTCTCCAAGGACTCCGGCACGAAAGTCAGCCGCATGAAGCGAGGCAGGCACAGGCAGGAGCCCGAGTTCCGGACCGAGATTTCATGGGTCCGGCCCACCCCGCGGTCAGGGTCGGAGGGCAGGCTGACGGAGTACTCGGCTGAGTACTCGGCCGAGTATTCGGGCTCGGAGAAGCCCTGGTTCCTCGGCATACTGGCTGGTGTCTGCTACTGGCCCTAGAGAAGTGGACTGGGAACGGAGGAAGAGCTCTGGACTGGGCCTCCTCTCAGGGCTCTCTGAGACCGGGGGAGGGCTGAGGGCCTCTTCTTGTCTGGGGCGGAGGGGAGGCCACCTCCAGCAGGAACGCAGAGCGGGTTTCCAGAGCACAGGTAGCACTGATCAGCTAGAACTGAAAAGGGCATTGCTGAGTAGAAGCACCTCTTCCCTCCTACCTTGCGGTTTCCCCATGACCCGCCCTAACCCTCATAAAAGGATCTCTGCTGCAAGAGCCTCCCAACCCAGGGCCTTCCCTGCCACCCCCGGCTCACACCACCGCCCACCGCAGGCACACTTAGTCCTGTCCACGCCAGACACTCAATTTCCTGTCCCTGGCTTGTGGAAGGGCCTAGCCGCCTTTCCATCCCTGGTAACCGGTTTCTCTCTGTCATCTCTTCTTTCTCAGTCCCCGACTTCCTCACCTAAATTCCCTCCAGGCCCAGTCCTTAGAAGCTGTAAATAAAATGTGCCGGAAAGAAATCAGGACCATCGTGGGGGATTCCTGAGCCTTCCTTCTGTTTACTTCCTTTTTCCACCAAACCCTTGGAGGCTCGGGCTCCGATCCGGCCCCCTTCCCACGCTCGGGGCGCTGTCTTCCCCCCCGGAAGCCTGGCCCTGCCCCTGCGTTTACCTGTGCGGGAACTCGGCCACCGCGTGCTCCGGGACGGTCCCCGCGCGGGCTGGGGCGGGAGAGCTCGGCGCGCCCGAGGGCTGCTCCCCGCAGAGCCGCGCCGCCCCGGCAGCGCCTCGGGGCCCGGCCGGAGCGCGATCTCCCGCCGTCAGGCCCGGGATCCGACCGGGAGAGGCGCAGGGCTGCCCCTCAGCATCCGCGGGCGCCCGGCCGCAGGGGGAAGGAGGAGGCGGCGACGAGGGCTGGGAGATCCGTGGGCGCCGGCCCAGCGCGCCCGCCCTGGGGCTGAGGCTCAGGGGCAGGGGCCGTGCGGGGGCCGGCAGGCGCGGGCGGCGGCGAGCGCGGCTCTCCGGACCCCTCCCCTGCACCCGCGGCGGCGGCGGCTGCTAGGGGCGCGCGCGGGGCCCTCCCCGGCGGGAGCGCGGGCCGAGCCCGGGGAAGCCCGCCAGCATCCTCTCGCCCGCCCGCGCCGAGCCGAGCCAGCCGAGTCCGGGCTCGGCGTGCTGCACAGCTATTCCCCGCGCGGCGCCGGCGGCTCCGGGGCCACGCGCGCTCCAGGCCCCGGGAGGCGGGAGGCGGGAGGCGGGAGGCGGGCGGGGCGGCCCCTCCCTCGCCCCAGTCTCCGCCCTCTCGGCGGCGCGTTCCGGAGTGGGGCGGCGAGGGAGGCGCCGGGCGGCGGTCCCAGGACCCGCGCGGGCGAGAGGTGGAGGGGCCCGGGCGGCCCCCGATCCGGCGCGGGCGGCGGGCTGGGGCGATGGCTGCGTGGAAGCGCGGGCGCGGGCGCGGGCGTGGGCGGTGGGCGGTGGGCGGCAGGGCTGGGGCGAATCCACCCCTTCCAGCGAGGAGGCCCGGTCTAGGAGGATGGAAGCCCGGGACGCGCCCGCCCGCAGGTGAGGCGCGCTCGGGGCACCCCGCCGCCCCCTCCTCCGCCGCGGCTTCCTTCCGGGCCGGCAGAGGCCAGGGCTCAGGTTTGGGGACCGCTCCGCCGCGGGGCACGTGGGGCCTAAGTATCCCCGCCCACCCCGGGAGCCCAGACTCCGGAGCGCCGGGCCTGAGCTTTCCGCAGAGGGGCTCGGCAGCGGAGCCCTGTCCTGCTCCCAGGAGGCGGGTGGCGGTGGCCCGGTGGGCACTACACACGTGGAACTGGAAGAGTTCCTGAGACCCTGCTTCGAAGAGATTTCCCGTGCACATTCTACCCGTTTGAGATGTGTTTGAGTTCACAAACTGTCCCTTAAAGATGCGAATGCTCCTTTGAATAGTTAAACCTATCAGTCTCTTACACCATAGTATAAATTATTTTCCTTGCATTTGACAGAACACCGTGCTAAGATCAACTACAGGCTTTGGGAATTTAAATAAAGGAAGAGGAAAGAGATAGAATGTTTTGGGACAAAAGGGACAAAAGCATGTGTGGGAAGGTAAGTGCTGAGGACAGCCAGCAGCAATAGGGGGTCATCTCCCCTGGGGAGAGCTGAAGGAATGAACAGAGGGGAGAGAAACTTGGCTATCCAGACCCTGGATGGAGCTGCCACCCCATGCCCCTGAGAGTTATCCGCGGGCACCCCTTCCAGAACCTCAGGCATCACCTTGCATCCCTCGGGGAATGGATCCATTAGAGAATCGATCCTGCCACTGCTGTTTCTACCGTTCCCTCACACTCTGTCTGAAAAGGCGCCACCTTCAGCCCATACTTCGCAGGGCTTTGATTCCAAAGGTAGGGGACCTAACATCAGATATAGGAGTTTGGTAATTTAAATAAAGCAAAACTTTGCCCCATTGTTTTATTTTATTTCTATTTTTTATTTTTTCGAGACTGAGTCTCACTCTGTCACCCAGGCTGGAGTGCAGTGTTGTGATCTCAGCTCACTGCAACCTCCACCACCCAGGTTCACGCAATTCTCCTGCCTCAGCCTCCTGAATACCTGGGATTGCAGGCACACACCACCAAGCCCGGGGTAATTTTTGTATTTTTAGTAGATGGGGTTTCACTATGTTGGCTAGGCTGGTCTTGAACTCCTGACCTCAAGTGATCCGCCCACCTCAGCCTCCCAAAGTGCTGGGATTACAGGGATGAGCCACTGCTCTGGGCTGCCCCATTGTTTTAATTTGCTGGAGGTTTTTGGGTTTTGGGGGGGATTTTTTTTGGAGGGAGTTATTTGTGGTTTGTTTTTTGTTTTTGTTTTTTAAAAAGGAAGGCATTTATTTATTTATTTATGAGACAGAGTCTCACTCTGTCGCCCAGGCTGGAGTGCAGTGGCCATCTCAGCTCACTGCAACCTCCGCCTCCTGGGTTCAAGCAGTTCTCCTGCCTCAGCCTCCCAAGTAGCTGGGATTATAGGCACCTGCCACCATGCCTGGCTAAATTTTGTATTTTTAGTAGAGACAGGGTTTCATCATGTTGGCCAGGTTGGTCTCGAACTCCTGACCTCAAGTGATCTGCCTGCCTCAGCCTCCCAAAGTGTTGGGAATACAGGTGTGAGCCATCATGCCTGGACTTTGCTGGAGGTTTAAACATTTATTTTGAATTGTCACATGATGTTAAAGAGGACATGACTTTTATGTTTTACAAAGGGAGATGTAATGTACGGCAAGGCGCAGTGGCTCATGCCTGTAATCCCAGCTCTTTGGGAGGCCGAGGCAGGCAGATCACTTGAGGTCAGGAGTTCGAGACCAGCCTGGCTGACATGGCAAAACCCTGTCTCTACCAAAAAATACAAAAATTAGCCGAGCGTGGTGGCGGGTGCCTGAAGTCCCAGCTGCTCAGGAGACTGAGGTGGGAGAATCGCCTGACCCTAGGAGGCAGAGGTTGCAGTGAGCCAAGATCGTACCACTGCACTCCAGCCTGGGCAACAGAATGAGACCCTATCTCAAAAAAAAGTGGGGGTTGGGGGAGAGATGTGCTAATGTTTTTTAAAAGGCTGATAAATCTTGTGCTTGGTCCTGCTTTGGCACAAGAGACACCATGTTGCACCCTCTGTGGGTCCCTTCCCCTTCCTTGGCATACATGCCAGCCCTGTGATTCTCAGTGTGGCACCCTGTCCGCAAGGCCATGCCCAGCTCCTAAGCTGAGAGGGTTCTCTGCTGGGCCCTCTGCCACCACTCATGCCCCAGCCTCCCACCCCATGAAGGGAGAGAGTTCCACACAGAGGCACCCTCATATAAAAAGAACAACAACAAATTGATCCCTGCCTCTCCAGCCCCTGCCTGCTGGCTTCACTGTCCCACTCCCTGTTCTTCCACCATCCCTATCTCTCCTCTGTGGGCCCCTGTTCAGCGGGCACTGGGGAAACCAGAGGAGCCTTATAGTTCTGCCAAGGCACCATGTTGACTCATGAGGCAGACCCTCAGGTGTACACAGGTTACAGTTGGGGGTGACTTCTGGCTGAGGTGATCAGAGACAGGGCCTTTCAGGGCAAGAGGGAAGGATCTGATGGGCCTGAAAGGCAGGCGTTCCAGGTGGCTGGAGCCTCCCTGCAAAGGCCCAGCCGCAGGAAGAGCACAGCACATTCCCATCCCTGCTCCGCGTTCAGGGTTCTGGCACGGCCTTTCCCTGTGGATATGGGAAACGCAGTGGGACAGCAGTAGGCCCTTGCGAGGACTCCCGGGGAGCCAGAAGCATCTGGGTGAATATTCCTGGGCAAGAGAGCTGCTTGACATCCTGCCACAGAGGAGATCAGGGAAAATGCCGCGAGGGCCTCATCCATCTCACTCACAGTGGCTTCCCCAGTACCTGGCACCTAGTAGATACTCAAAAAATAGTCATTGAATGAATGGAAGTCTCCCTAAGAAGAAATGGTACTTTATAAAGGCACTGGCTGTCCTTGAAGGGACCAGCTGGCCTCATTCCCTGATACTGAGAATGTCCTGGTCCCAGGGCAATGAAAAATATCCACCCTCGAGTGAAAAGGGTGGGATTATGGGGGAGCTGTTTTCACTTTCCAAGCTATACATTTTGTATTGATGTAACCTGGACAACTGGCATGCTTCGCTTTTATAATCAAATGATACAGGAAATCTATACACACACAACTCAGGACCTCAAATGGCTGCATGGGTGACTTGCCCCTGTGGCTTGTCCTAAAAGGAAGACAGAATCATAGACTTAGGTCGAAGCTTGGAGGGCATCCTGACCCCCCCCAACCTCAATCCAGCATCTGCCTGGATGGGATGCCTCTTTGCTGAAGGCAACTTTTTGTTTGTGTGGTTCAAGACTAGAAATCATGGCTGAGAATTAATTGTTACTGGATAAACAAGAATGGTTTGGCCCCCCCGGGGAATGTGGTGGCTCTTGAATCCAGCAAACAATAGATCAGAGCAGAACTCTGTGTCCTGGGGGAAAACAGAAGTGGGAGAGAGAAGATCATTAGCTCCCCTGGTGCTGGGCACCAGGAGAGCCCTGTCTGGGGCCTGAAAGCAGAGCTTGAGACCCGGCCTGCATGCAGGTGGTTCAACTGGGGAAGTGATTCCAGGGAAACAGAGCAGGAGCCTGGGAAGCTCAAAACAGAGAAGGCAGGAAAGCCGGTAAATATGAGGGTTTGTGACGGAGTTGGCCACTGGTGTGGGAGGGGGCCTTGATCCTGCTGGGACCCTCTGATGAGCCTTGCAGAAGGCACCTCAGAGCTTTCCACTGGAGGGCTGGCAAAGGTGGGTGTTCGTCCTCCTTTCATCCTTCCCTGTTGGTTAAGGGTTGCCAGTTGGGGTATTCTCTCCCTGGCTCTTGTGCAAAGGAGGCTAAGCAGTGAGCGGACTGGGCAGGAAACGAGGGATCCTCAGTGCAGATACCTGGCAAGGTGCTGCTGGGGTGTGCCTGCAGCAGTAACGGGAGTGGAGAGGGGGACCGGGGGGATGTGGCATGTGATACTCAAGCATCCTGTGCAGGGCCCACACCCCTCATCCATTCCTGCTGGCTCAGAGGCTCAGCAGTTTGGATCCTGTCACCTGGAGGAGAGGTGTGTGGTACCCTAGGGAAAGCTGGCTCCCTGGAATCAGAGAGCTCAGTTTTGAGCATGGCCTTGATGAGAGCTGAGCACCTCGGACCAATTACTCAGCCCCCACAAGCCTGTGTCTCTGTGGTGCAGTGACAGCACTAACCCTTAGTCAGGATCCTTGTCAGGAAGTAGGGGATTCATGGGACCAACATGGTGGGCAGATCTCAACAAATCAACTGGAGTTACCATTATCTCACAGCAGACAGCTGAGCAGCCGTGAGCACTTCTGCCCCAGCATGGCCTGCACAGCTGGCTGGCTGCCTGCCCCCAGTCCCCTCCATGGCTGCATCTGGGGCCCCGCGACTCCAGCGCAGTCTTCCTCTAACAGTATCGACAGCACTGGCCCATCTGACCCTGTGTCCTCCCTTCTTTGTCTCTGTCCCTGGTCTCTCCCTTCTGCCCCGTGTTGGAGCCTCCCTGACTCTCACAGGGTCACTCCTTGGGCACTGTGGATGGGTGTAAGAGCGTGTGTGTAGGGCTGTGAATGTGAGGAGGGGTGTGAGGAATGTGTGTGGGTGTGAGAGTGGGGAGTGTGTGTGTGTGAGAACGTTCCTTCACATTTGTGTGTATGAGTGGATATGTGAGTGTGCATGTCTGAGAATGTACGTTCATGTTGGCATGTGTGTGAGAATTGTACCTTCATGTTTGTGTGTGAGCGCGTGTGTGAGAACATATGTTCGTGTTTGTGTGTGGGGGTGTAAATGTGCATGTGAAAATGTGCGTTTGCATTTGTGTGTGAATGGGTATGTGAGTGCGAGTGTGTGAGAATGTTGCTTCATGTTTGTGTGTGTGTGGGTGTGTGTGATTGTGTGCGTGTGAGAATGTACCTTCGTGTTTGTGTGTGCGAGTGGGTATGTGAGCATGATTGTGTGAGAATGTACTTCACGTTTGTGTGTGTGGGTGGGTGTGATTGTGTATGTGTGAGAGAATGTACCTTCATGTTTGTGTGAGTGTAAGTGGGTGTGTGTGTGTGAGAACGTACCTTCATGTTCCTGTGTGTTGGTGTGTGTGATTGTGTGTGAGAACGTACTTCACGTTTGTGTGGGTGTGTGTGATTGTGTGAGAACGTACCTTCATGTTACTGTGTGTGTGTGATTGTGTGTATGAGAATGTACCTTCACGTTTGTGTGAGTGGGTGTGTGAGTGTGATTGTGTGTGAGAATATACCTCCACGTTTGTGTGTGAATGAGTGTGTGATTGTGAGAACGTACCTTCGTGCGTGAGTGGGTATGTGTGGTTGTGTGTATGTACTTTCACATTTGTGAGTGTGAATGGGTGTGTGTGATTGGGTGTAAGAATGTACCTTCATGTTTGTGTGTGTGAGTGGGTGTGTGAGCGTGACTATGTGTGAGACGTACCTTCACGTTTGTGTGTGAATGTGAGTGGGTATGATTGTGAGTTTGTGAGAACACACCTTTGCGTTTGTGTGTGATTCTGAGTGGTTGTGTGAGATTGTGAGAACGTACCTTCATGTTTGTGTGTGAGTGGGTGTGTGTGATTGTGAGAACCTACCTTCACGTTTGTGAGTGTGTATGATTGTGAGTGTGTGAAAACGAACCTTCACGTGTGTGTGTAAGTGTGCATGCATGTGCCTGGGTTGCATCATCCGTCCTGGTGGGTGCCCGCCTCACCTCTTCCCTCTCCTCTCCTCGATCGGTGCCATCCACACAGGACGTGGGCTCTGCTGGCTGCCCTCGGGTGCTGTTTCTAGGCCCCTGACGCAGGCAGAGGGAAGCGGGCTGAGGATGCGCAGTGAAGACATCCAGGCACCCAGGCTGGTGCTGGGCTTGGTTCCGGGTCTTTGCCCCTTGGCAGGTGTGAGCGTCTCCTTGGGAGCAAGGACCAGGGTCCCTGGTTCCTCCTGCCCAGTATTTGAAACAGAGTGGCTATTCCACAGTCTGTCATTGAAATAATGTCACCGGCACACTAGCCACAGTGCCAGTAACACCCATGGGCCCGATCCCCAGACAGCGGCAGCAGCTCCCCTTCCTGCGCCCCGCCCTGCAGGCACCGCGCGCTGCCTTCTTCCCTTTGGTTTCCGCGGTGGGGACTCCCGGCGTCCCTGTTGTGCGGGTGGAGAAGCGGGAGCGCAGAGACATGAGGTAACTTGCTCCGGCCCCAGCTAGGAAGGGGCGGAGGCCCAGGCTCTGGCCACCCAGAAGTCCGGCTGTACCAGGAAGGCTCAGGAAGCTTCCTTTGCTTGTCACTGCTTCTCTGTAGCCAAGGGTGCCCTTGACCTCAGGGACTCAGAGCGAATCCTGGAGAGTCACAGCTCCCTGCTGGCAGTTGAAAGAGACTCCAAACACCATTCTGCTGCAGCCCTGGTGGAGACATTGAGGCCCAGAGGGGTTAAATTTGGGGAGAGAAGGACACGTGCCCACGGAGCGTGAAACGGCATGTGAATGCTGAGTAATTCCGAGGCCTCTGCGGGACGTCACGTTTCCAAAAGCGCGCGAGCCCTGCCCCTCCGGCAAGAGGCACCATAGAAATGTGTGCTAACAAGCCTCCCTGCGGCCTGCGGGGAATAGGAGAGAGCAGGAAGCTTTCAGAACAACAAGAGTGGCTAGAAAAGGCCCCGGATGGGAGGAGACGAACAGCCCAGCCCCACGGTCTTTCTCATGGGTGGAAAGTCACTAGCACCCAGAAAAGCAAGGCTAAGAGATCCTGGGGAGCTGGCACAAGTTCTCTGGTCTTAAAGACGCATGTGATTAGATCTGGCTCACTGGGATGTTCCAGGAGAATCTCTCCATCTCGAGATCCTTCACTTAATCACGTTTGCAAAGTCACTTTTGCCATGTAAGGCATCATAGTCACAGTTTCTGGGGGTTAGGGTGGTGACGTTTTGCGTGGACATGATTCTGCCTATTACGGCAGGCTCCTAATGTGATATAGATCCCGGTAGTACTGATTAGAGGAAGGACTCATCTTAATTCCTCCCATTAAAACTTTTTCTAATGTTTCTAATCTCGATGCTGAAATAAATGAGCCTTCGCCATGTTAAATTGGAGGAGAGGAAATCATCTCAACGGTCTGTGAAAGGGTGATTTTTGAGAAGAAAGAGGTCCTATACATTTTTATTTTTATTTTTTCTCACTCTTGTCACCCAGGCTGGAGTGCAAAGGCACGATCTCCGCTCACTGCAAACTCCATCTCCTGAGTTCAAGTGATTCTCCTGCCTCAGCTTCCCGAGTAGCTGGGACTACAGGCATATGCCACCATGCCTGGCTAATTTTTGTATTTTTATTAGAGATGGGGTTTCATCATGTTGGCCAGGTTGGTCTCAAACTCCTGACCTCAGGTGATCCACCCGCCTCAGCCTCCCAAAGTGTTGGGATTACAGGCGTGAGCCACCATGCCCGGCCACCCTAGAAATCTTTTAATGCAAGAGAATGCTGTAGAAAGAACTCCCACCTGTGGTTCCTCACCACCCTCACCCCTTCCAAGTTACCCTCAGCTGCAACAGGCCAGATCCCTTGTTCCAGGAAGGCTGGTTGGGAACAAGGGACCACCTGGAGTCAGCAGCTGAATGGATGCCTGAGGTTCATGGATTCTAAGACTTTTCCAAGCCCCCTTTCTGCTGCCACTGGAATTGTCTCCCAGAAACACAGTTCAGACTGTTTGACTTCCCAATTCTTTAGCATCCAGGCTTTTCCTTGGTTAGGCCCCAGCCTACTTATTCTCTCATATAATCTGCACACCAGTCATATGAGGTAAGTACAATTGCCATATCCATTTTACAGATGAAAACACTGAGATTAGATTCCTAACATGCCCAAGGTTCCACAACTGGCAAAGGGCACTGCCCATGTTTACACCCACACCTCTGAATCCAAGGCCCGGCACTTAGACACTGTGGCCTGCTCGACATCCTGGGTCATTGCTAGAGGAATTGGGGGGCTCATGCCTTCTCCTCTGCTTGGATGGGGGCCAACTTAACTGTGGACCAGAAGGGGTGGGCCATGGGAAAGACAAAGCAGGAGGAGTCAGCAGTACTGGAGGGGAGGCGGGGCCTTTATCTTAGCAGCCCTATCTGTTCAAATCCAGAGACATCTTCTCCACCCTGGGAGGCAGGAAAGCAGCCCAGTCAGAGAGGTGGAGCCCCGGACAGCAGATCTGCAACAGGGCAACACCCAACCCTGGCCCAGGGGAGGCCTGCAGCCTGGCCGGGAAGGGCTCAGGCCAGCTTGATTAACATACTGCTGACCCGGCTGGGCGCGGTGGCTGATACCTGTAATCCCAGCACTTTGGGAGGCCGAGATGGGTGGATCACGAGGTCAGGAGATCAAGACCATCCTGGCTAACACGGTGAAACCCCGTCTCTACTAAAAATACAAAAAATTAGCCAGGCGTGGTGGCGGGCGCCTATAGTCCCAGCTAATAGGGAGGCTGAGGCAGGAGAAAGGTGTGAACCCGGGAGGCAGAGCTTGCAGTGAGCCAAGATTGCGCCACTGCACTCCAGCCTGGGCGACAGAGCGAGACTCCATCTAAAACACAAACAAACAAACAAAAACAACAATAACAACAAAACCATATTGCTGACCCATTTTCATATCTTAAAATTATAAACAAAAGTACAAGCTCCGGCTATTCTATTTATCAAGTCAGAGCAGAGTGAGGCTGATATTTGTGGAAACTGAGGTTTCTCTGCTCACCTTGGTCATTTAGGGCACCCTCTCCTTGTTCCCCTCTCAGTGTCCAGGTCTCCCCAGTTCTTGCCATCTTCCCTCTCTCCTGTCTCAAAACACTGTGTCAGGACCAGAGCCCAGAGAGTGCCCCACCTGGAGGTGATAATGATTTGAATGTTAAGTCTAGGTCTTTAATTCCGTTTCTTCATGCTCCTGCTCCCAACCACTTAGGAAGTAGATCCAGAAATCAGGCAGTTGGGGCGCAACAGATCAGTTTCAGATGGATGAAAGTTGAGTTGGAGGCTGGGGCTTAGGTGTGTGGCCACAGCCTGAGATAATGCTTCACTTTGGACTTGAACTCCTCACCCCATCACAGACATATGGGTTGCCACAGGCCTCCCTGGAGGGTTGGAGCCTGCCCTGGGGAATATGGAATGGTAGGAAGGGGCAAGATCACAGAAGGCCTTGAATGCCTAGCTAAAACATCTAAATTTGGGCTTTGTGTTTTATAGGAGTTGTTGAGGATTCTTTTGAGTAGATGACATGTCCTGACCTGCTACATTCTTCCAGAGGATTGATTTGGGATAAAAGATGGTTTGGAAAAGAAAGGCTGTCAAGAGAAAACTGGGCCGGGCACAGTGGCTCACGCTTGTAATCCCAGCACTGTGGGAGGCTGATCACCTCCCACCTCAGGCGGGTGGATCAACCAAGGTCAGGAGTTTGAGACCAGCCTGGCCACCATGGCGAAACCCCGTCTCTACTCAAAATACAAAAATTAGCTGGGCGTGGTGGTGTGTGCCTGTAATCCCAGCTACTCGGGAGACTGAGGCAGAGGAATCACTTGAACCTGGGAGGCGGAGGTTGCAGTGAGCCAAGATCGTGCCGCTGCACTCCATCCTGGGTGACAGAGCGAGACTCTGTCTCAAAAAAAAAAAAAAAGAGGGAGAAAACCGGTGAGAAGATGCAAACTAATCACTCCTGGAAGACAGTGGTCCAAATCTAAGAATGCTCTCTAGTATTCATTCCACAAGGGTCTCAGGCCTCTCATGAAATCTCAGGCTGACTTACATTCACATTAGACACATTCAGGTTTTGGGCTGAGCATATCCATGAGTATTTGCAGATAGTAATTTTTATAACTATTAAATAATTCATGCTGACATTGTTTTCCCTCTTGTGTTCTTGAAAAAGATGCTGTTTCCCGCACAGGCAGTGGTGAAAATAAATTAGCCACCTGCTTTGCCATCCTTTTTCCAATCTTGCTGTGTCCCATGGGGGATGCCAGGCACTGCTGGGCACCTTTCTAAAAGTGTTCTATTCAGTAGAATATGTGCTGAGTTTTTTTTTTTTTTTTTTGGCAAAATCAGGCCTTAAAAAAATGTTACACTTTTTAATTTTCATTTAAAAAATTTCTTTTTCACTCCATTAAAATTCATCTCCGTGAAATGGGTTCAGAGTAGTTTTAGCAATTCTGTCTGTCACCCATTCTGAGATGCTGCTGGCACCACGTGCAGCCATCCCCTGCTGAATGGGAAGCAAGTGGCAGAGCTGAGTGTGCACCCAGAACCCTAGTGTTGGGGTCTGTGGTCAAGGAGGCCCCCACTCTCCTTTCATTCGCAGTCCCCCACGCCCAGCCCACACTACCTGCCAGTTTTACATCTGTTTGGACAGGAAGGCTTACAACCCTGCTCTGCTATTTTTAGGAAGCACTCACATTGAGTCAGCCTTTCTGCTGGCTTCACACCCTCTGCTCGCTGGTTCTCGGGCTGTCTGCCTTTTCAGCAGGAGCCCGGGGCTCACATCCTCAGACAGTGAGCACAATGCTTCTCTTCTCCCTGCCCATCTCAGCTTTGGTCTGCACCCCTGTTTTTATCACCTTCCTGGAACGAGGGCAGGCTTTTCTAGGGGTCCATATTTTCTTGTTTCTCTCACTAAGAGCTTCCCAACAAGTCATGCACATTAACGTGGATAGAGCTGGAGGCCCTTCCTCTTGTTCACAATTTTGCATTAATGTAGCTATAAGTGGGAATCTTTTTTTTTTTAAATCAAGTCTACATTCAAACATGCTTTTAAACTAAAAATAACTGCATTTAAATAACTTTAGAGAGAATGATATAAAGGAGGATTTAAATGTTAGCTGTAAATTGATACTCACTCTTCATTATTTCTTATCCCAGAGTATAGCCAAGTGACTGGCATAGAAAAGGTTATTAATAAATGCTTGGAGGAAGGAATAAATGAATAAATTCTAAAATGTTAATAGTTTTGTGATGTGTCCCTCTCAAGGGTGAAACTTGTAATTTAACACGCAGAACTTTTCTTTTCTTTTTTTTTTTTTTTAGACTGAGTCTCGCTCTGTCGCCCAGGCTGGAGTGTGCAATGGCACGATCTTGGCTCACTGCAAGCTCTGCCTCCCGGGTTCACGCCATTCTCCTGCCTCAGCCTCCTGAGTAGCTGGGACTACAGGCGCCCACCACCGCGCCCAGCTGATTTTTTGTATTTTTAGTAGGGACAGGGTTTCACCGTGGTCTCGATCTCCTGACCTCGTGATCTGCCCACCTCGGGCTCCCAAAGTGCTGGGATTACAGGCGTGAGCCACCGCGCCTGGCCAGAACTTTTCTTTAATAAATTGCAAATGGTAGAGTTTTCAGGCGTCTGTCTAGGTTGCACCAGAAATATTTCAGGTGACTGAGTTGTATTACAGTTGTTGGGATGATTTCTTTCTTAAGTTACCCCATATTCAATTTAAAATGGCTTAACCAGTAGAGAAAATGTATTACCTCTAAAACAAGCAGTCTTTGGATAGGACAGGTCTAAGGTTAGTTATTCTAGTGGCTCGATAATGACTAGGCCAGGTCTGATTCCCAATGAAGCCAACTCTAGTCATTTTCCTAGGAGATTTTATAAACCAGGGAACTAGTTAAACACATTTCATTGAGAAAGTTACACCAAGATTTGATCAGCTAATGAGAAATACATTTAGCTGTTAAGGGTACCCCCACTTTTCTTGCTTCCTTACTCTCAAGGAGACCCCTGTTTTCAACATTTTCAGTTGTATTCTGTGACTTTTTTCATTTGGCTGGGAATGATGTGGTTGAAGGATCTACAATCTATTTCACAGTTCAGCAACAGAGGCCATTCATTCATTCATTCATTTATCAAATATTTCTTATGCTTTTATTAAGCACTGCAGATACAAAGATTTTTAAAAAGGTCAGGTTTTTGTGGAGACCCTGCCCTCCTGAGGAGAAGATCTACTAAATGTGCCTGGGCAGCAGAGGAGACTCCTGAAAACCTTTCAGAAAAGGAGTTGTTGGAGCTGGATGTAAAAGTTGAGTGAGAGTTTTCCAGGTGGACAGAGGGGGAGGGAGGGCGTGTTGGGTCGAGGGCAGCATGACAAAGGCACAGGCCGTGTGCCATGGTGTGTTCAGAGAACAACACGCTCAGTGTGCCTAGAGGACGGGAGAGGGTAAAGAGGTGGAAACACAGAGGTGGCAGATGGAAGGAGGTCGGATAGGGATGGGCTCTGAAGTCAGGCCCCAGTTTGAATCCAGGTCCCACTTTTGCAACAGCTCAATGGTTGCCTTCATGTCCCAGGGCTGCATAACAAATTACCACAAACTGGGTGGCTTAAAACAAGTTATTCACTCATGCTTCTGAAGGTCAGAGGTCCAAAATCGGGGTGTGTTGGGTGTTGGCAAGGCTGTTTCCCTCTGAAGGCTCTGAGGACGAATCCAGCCCATGCCTCTCTGCCAGCTGCTGGTGGCTGCTGGCAGCCTCAGGTGCTCCTTTGCTTGGGGCTTTAAGATTCCATGCTCTGCCTCTGGCTTCACTAAGCCTCCCTTTCTCTGTGTGCCTCTCTGTCTCTCCTCTTCTCTTCTCTTTGGAGTTGACAATGGATTTAGGGCCTGCCTTAACCCAGGATGATCTCCTCTCAAGGTCCTTACCTTAATCACATCTGCAAAGACCCTATTCCAAATAAGGTCACACTTTGAAGTTCTAGGTGGGCCCATCTTTGGTAGACCGTAAGGCAGCCACTACAGTAGTCTTAGATAATTAACTTACCCTCTCTAAGGACTTTTCCTTATGCAAAGTATAGGGATAAAATATTTATCCTAAGGGGTTATTGTGAGATTCAAATATAATGCTTTTTCATTGCTTAGGAAGTACTTGGTCTATAGTAAGTGCTCAATAAATGGTAGGAACGTGGATATTATCCTATAGGCAACAGAAAGCTTCATAATGTAGGCGTTTGAGGAGGGAGAAAAAGAAGTTGCTTTCCAAATTTGCCCTCTTTTTTTTTTTTGAGACAGAGTCCCACTGTGTCACCCAGGCTGGAGTGCAGTGGCACAATCTCAGCTCACTGCAACCTCCACCTCCTGGGTTCAAGCGATTCTCCTGCCTCAGCCTCCCGAGTAGCTGGGACTACAGGCACGCGCCACCATGCCGGCTAATTTTGCATTTTTTAGTAGAGACAGGGTTTTGCCATGTTGGCCAGGCTGATCTCAAACTCCTGACCTCAGGTAATCCGCCTGCCTTGGCCTCCCAAAATGCTGGGACTACAGGCGTGAGCCACCGCGCCTGGCCAGGGATGTGCAAGCGCCCAGGTGATGCTGAGGCCACTTTGAAAATCACTGTCCTGCACATCTGCTGTGCTTTGCAAATAGGAGGTGCTCAATAAGTCCTTGTTGCAATGAATCCT